>NC_000009.12:103372067-103523582 GCF_000001405.40 Homo sapiens | reverse complement strand
CAGGCAAGGGAAAGCCTTCTCTCTTCTTGGCTTCTGACAATAATGACATTTATGAGAGAGCTGTTAGTTAAGGGAGTCAAATGAGGTAATATACAATGGATGACTCATTTTAATATTAATATTTTAATCATGATCCTAATACTGTTGTGATATACATGTTGTAGGGTTATTTGGTAATTCAATGAGATAATATTCCTAAGTCTCTTAGCACAGTGCCAGGTAAAAGTAACAATCATATTACTTTATGATATTAATGGTATTAAATAAGATTAATGATACTAAAAATGATATTAATTTACTTCTGATATATGCACAGTGTATGACTAGTTTCTCAATATCTACCAATTCTTCTATGTTTAACTTTTTAATTCCTCAAATTAGTAGCTTACTGTTGGTTGTCCTCAAAATACCTGATACGTCAGGTAGAAATAGCTGATCATTATATTATGAGAGGAAAACAATTAATTTGTTTAACATTTAGTAAAGTGGTTATAAGAGTCTCACTATTGGGAGCATTTAGCTTATATGGATATAAAAATAGATCCAGAGCTCTACATTTGAAAATGAGAGATCATTCCTGCCGTAAAACTTTACACTTCCTACTGATGGAAAAGCTCTTGGGCTCTCAGATCAGATTTGTGCCACAGGGTTCCTTCCATTATTCAGGTCTCTGCTTCAATGTCACCTTCTCTAGAGTCTTTTCTGGGTAAATCCATGCAAAATATACCACTTCACTCCCTTTTCACTAATTTATATTTCTTTATAGTATTATTAGTATCTGAAATGTTATTATTAATATGTGTGTTTATTTTCTGCTTTGCCTTCTAAATATTAGCTCTGGAGGCGTCGGTCTCTATTTCTTTTTCCCTTCACTGTGTCTTCAGTGTATTAGACTGTAGTTGACACAAGCGAGGGTTACTTATATTTGTTATTATATTTGTTATATTTATTTATATTTGTTAATTTATGATTATATTTGTTAATTTTTGATTAACAAAAATAAAAATTATTTATTTATATTTGTTCATTATATTTATTTATATTTAGTATTCATATTTCTTTATGTTTGTTAATTTATGATTAAATGAATGATTTTCAGCTTTAGGACAGTTTCAAAGCTACATGACTTAGGGCAGGTGTATATTGTCTTCTGAGGCTGTTCTAACATTTAGTTTAAAAATAAGAATAACTACCTCACAAGTGACTTATAAGCATTACATAAAATTAAATTAAATAGTGTGAACTGTGGTATCTTTCCCTTAGTAGGCCCTCAGTATGTTTTATTGCTATAGACACATAAACTATACATTTAATAAAACAATTCAGTGAGGTAGACAATATTATTTTATTAGACACACTCATTTATGTATACATTTAAGAAATAGAAAAATCAAGGCTAAAAGGCGGCAAGCTAGTTGTTGATCATCACACAGTCAAAAGTGATCGCATCTCAATTTTAAACCTATGCACTCTTAACTTGAACCTCTTAACTTGCTTGCTGAGGCAAAGGGGTGACTATAGCTTCTATTTACCTACAAACTGGAAAAAGTAGTATATAATACAAACAACTGTGGAACTCCACTAAGCGCACCAGTTCATTTCACTTTGATGGCCAATAGTCATTAAGTAGAATGGATTTAAAGCAATGACCTAGAAATCAAAGGCAGTGTATAACCTATTACAAATCTCTTGAGCCATCTTACCTGCCAACAATTTTTAAACATTCTTTTGATTTTGAAGTTGCTGTGTCATAAAATAACATTTTGGAAATTGTAGAGAAAAATAATTTAGAGTGTATATAAGCTTCAAAACTTTAACTTTCACTGTAATTACTAGAGAGGAGCAATGGTAACTTCGCAAAATCCAATTACTTTTATTTTCAGTCCAGGGATTAGAGAAACAGAGGTTTTAAGGCGAAAATGGTTTATTTGTGCCTTCTATGCATGTAAATTTTTCCTCTTTCCATATCCCATTTTGATCCTTCCCTTTGTACTTTTCAGTGCTACTCATATTTTCACCCTTAATTACCAATTAACATGTAAATAATTGTATGATGATGAAAATGATACTGTGGCTTTCCCCCTCTTTTCGGAGGCAGCCTTGCAGATAAATTGTGAGCAATCAATTCCTGTTGAAGTGAATAGATGGCCTAGTTTCGCTGCAATATTCAAGTTTTTCCCCCTCAATCAATTCCCAGTGTTCCAGTGATTTGTCTACCTTTGCTAAATTTGATGTTCATGCTCTTTTTATCAGTGGCATGGAATTTTAATTAGCTTTTGATGAAATGTATAAGGATACTTTCTAAACTATAAATGGAGAAAAATTACATTTTTTCCTGCCTTTACATGTCAAGATTTCTGCAAGCTAGTAGAAGCTAAAAGGCATTAATAGTTTGTGTATTTTTCACTAAATATACATAGGGGTCAAAATGTGACAGTCTCTTGGTTATATCCTGAGAAACTGTAAATTCTAGTAGTTTTCTAAATGTAATACAATATGTTGAGGAAGAAGTAAATGCCTATTTATAATTATTTTTATAATCCTAAAATAATTTTAAACATACAGAAAGTGTGCAAGAATTAAACAAGAGGACTGAATATTCATTGTACGGATTTATTCATTTTTTAACATTTTCCATGTTTGGTTTACCATCCTCTATTTAAAATCATATAATAGTTTTATAAACCTAAAATATTTCAGCATGCATTTTCCAAGACTAAGATTGTTTGATTACACAACTGTATTGATCCACAATACAGTTGTCAAATTCAAGAAATTTAATATCAATACACTTTTTTTCTGCTCTATGTTGAATATGCCAATTTTATCAATTGTCCCAGCGATATTCCTTATAGTTACTTATTTTCCAGTACAAGATCTAATCTAGGGTTACAAATTGTATTCAGCTGTCATGTCTGTTTATTTTCTTTAACCTTGAGCAGTTCTTCATATTTGTCTTTCATGCAATTGATATTTTCAAAAATAATATAACCAATTTTTTAATATATTATACCTCAAGTTGGCTATTTCTGATATTTCCCAATAAATGGATTCAAGTTAGGCATCTGGGATGAGACATTCTATAAATGATATTATATCTTTTTTTCGAGTATGACATCTGATAATATATGATTTTTACTTACTCTTATTGGTGATGTTGATTTTGATTGCTTGATGTAATAATTATCCGTTATTGCATAACCATATGGCCACAAAATTATATGCTTAAAATGCATAACACATTTACTATGTGACAGCTTCATTGGGCCAAGAGCCTTGGCATGGCTCAACAGAGTCCTTTCTTTCTGAATCTCTCATTAGTGCAATCAAGGCATTGGTCAAGGCCGTAGTATGCTTTCAAGGCTCAACTGCAAAAAAGGATCTTCCTTAAAGCTCATATGGTTATTGGAAGAATTCAGTCCCTTGCAGGCAATAGGACTGAAGGCCCCAATTTCTTGCTGGTTGAAGGTCTGAGACCTCTGTCAGCTACATGGAACTCTTAATAGGGTAACCAATAACACAGCAGCTTGCTTCATCAAAACCAAGAAGGAAAAGAGTCTACTAGCAAGATGGATTACAACTTTATGTAATATAATATTGTAAGTGGTGTCCATAACCTAGTTTACTCTATTTTATTGATTTAAATGGCAGATGCTGCCCACACTTGAAGAGATGGAGTTACACATGACATAACTATGAGGAGGAGGGTATAACTAGGCACCATCTAAGAGTCTATTCACCACACTTTGTTATGGAACAGTAGTCCCCCCCTTATCCACTGAAGATATGTTCCAAGACCCCCAGTGCATGCCTGAAATGGATACAATGAAACCCTATATATACTGTGTTTTTTTCCTTAACATTTATACCTATGGTAAAGTTTAATTTATAAACTAGACACAGTAAGACATTAAAAACATCTAACAATAAAATAGAAGAATTATAAAAATGTGCCAGGATCACTGCTCTTGCACATGCAGCCCTTATTAAGTAAAACTTGAACACAAGTAAATGAAAAGTTGATTTGATCACCAAGATGACTGCTAAGTGACTAACGGGCAGACAGGCAGGTAGACTATACAGCACAGATATGCTGAACAAATCGGAGGATTCATCACCCGGGCAGGACAGAGCAGGATAAAGCAAGATTTCATTATGCGACTCAGAAGGGCAATTTATGTTTTGTTTGTTTGTTTGTTTTTTAGAGACAGTGTCTCAGAGTGTCTCACTGTGTCACCGAGGCTGGAGTGCAATGGTGTGATCATAGCTCACTGCAGCATCCAACTCCTGGGCTCAGGTGATCCTCCTGCTTCAGCCTCCTGAGTAGCTGGGACAGCAGGCTCACACCATCACACCCAGCTAATTTAACTTTTGTAGAGATAGAGTCTCACTATGTTACCCAGGCTGGTGTCTTGAACTCCTGGCCTGAAGCAATTCTCTGCCTCAGCCTCCCAAAGTGCTGGGATTAAAGGCATGAGCCATTGTGCCAGTATGGATTGTTTGTTTTTGGAATTTTTATTTAATATTTTTTGACTACTGTTGACCACACTTAACTGAAACTGCAGAAACTGAAAACACAGATAAAGGGCGCTATTGTATTTTATGATTCCTCCACCATTTAGTTACTGTGGGGGTGCTACTGGAGACTGTAAATCTCCTGTTCCTCAATAACCTTTCCACTCTATGGTTTTATCATCTATTGATAATTTTCACCGGAATGAAATTTACTGCCTTCATTCTAAAATAGTAATTTTCCAATTTATAATCTATTTTGTATGTTTTAGTCAGTATTCTATTGTTAGAAAAGGATTTGTTTATAGCATACTTGTCTTTCTCTTTATTTATCTGCAATCAATACAGACTCAGAAATCATTTTATTCGGAATTTTAATCTATGTGCGTCAATATGGATCCTGGTCAAATTACTATTACAGTATATTTTACATAAGATACACTCATTTAGATGCATTGAATGGTTGATAAATTTTGAGAAAAGCACACAACAGAATCAAAATATAGAACGTTTTTGTTATGCTCATATTTCTCTGTTGTCCTTTTGCATGATTGCTGAAAACTTCCATTATATGAAAAATGTTTTTCTTTGTATCACTATATATTTTTGTCAATTCTAAAATTTTATACACATAAAATTACCCTGTACTTACTTGTGTGTGCCTGACTTCTTTTGCTTAGCTTAGTGTCTTTAATGATTAATATATAGTAATTTTTACTAGTCAATCAGTACTTTTTATTGCTGTTAATATTATTCTATTTTATGAATGTGCAATTTGTTGATTAATTCTTTCTTGATGGCATTTTGATTTTGGAAAATTTCGGTTATTATGTGTAAACCTATTATGAATGTTTGTACACAGTGGGTGCAGTGGCACATTCCTGTAATACTAGCTACTCAGGAGGCTGAGGTGGGGGAATGGTTTGAGGCCAGGAGTTAGAAGCTGCAGTGAGCTATGAACATGCCTGTTGATAGCCACTGCACTCCAGCCTGGGCAACACAGCAAGATCCTCCTCTCTCAAAAAAATGAATATTTGTACACAAGCCTTTGTGCAGACACATAGTTTCATTTCTCTTGGGGAAATATCTAGGAGTAAAATTAATTATTCTTATGGTAAGTGTGTCTTTAATTTTATATGAAACTGCCAAACTCTACTACAAAGTGGCTGAAACATTTTGCATCTCCACCGACAGTGTATGAGAGTTCAGTTTTCTTCATATCCTCTCCAATACTAAGTGCTGTCAATCTTTTTACACATTTTTGTGGTTTTGTGATGGTGTATCATTGTAGTTTCAATACGTGTGTTCATGTTGAACTGACTGTTGACATTAGGTTCCTTTTTATGTGCTTATATTGGCCATTTGTATAACATCTCTAGTGAATTTTTGTTTGACTATTTTGCCCATTTTTATTGGGTTGTTTTTCTTTTATGACAGAGTTATGAGTTTTTAATATATTACAAATACATTTTCATCTAATGTATTATGATATTTCTTACCCAATCTGCATCTTGTCTTTGGTATTTTCCTTAGAAGTGTCTTTCAGAAGGTGGAAGTCTTTAATTTTGATGAATTTAAAAGTTTTTTACTTTTTTCTTCTTTTATAGTTTTTTACTTTTTGTCATGTCAAAGACAACTTTGCCTATCTTGTATTGACAACAATTTTCTCACATATATTCCACTAAAAGTTATATAGCTTTATATTTTACAATTCATTTTATGACCTATTTTAGGTTAATGTTTGTGACATTAGTTCATGGCCAAACTTCTTTTTACTCCCAAATGAATATGCAGTTAATACAACCTGGTTCCTTAAAAAGTTTATCATTTTCATCAAAAAGTGGGCAAAGGATATGAACGGACACTTCTCAAAAAAGACATTTATGCAGCCAAAAGACACATGAAAAAATGTTCATCATCACTGGCCATCAGAGAAATGCAAATCAAAACCACAATGAGATACCATCTCACACCAGTTAGAATGGCGATCATTAAAAAGTCAGGAAACAACAGGTGCTGGAGAGGATGTGGAGAAATAGGAACACTTTTACACTGTTGGTGGGACTGTAAACTAGTTCAACCATTGTGGAAGTCAGTGTGGCGATTCCTCAGGGATCTAGAACTAGAAATACCATTGGATCCAGCCATCCCATTACTGGGTATATACCCAAAGGACTGTAAATCATGCTGCTATAAAGACACATGCACACGTATGTTTATTGCGGCACTATTCACAGTAGCAAAGACTTGGAACCAAGCCAGATGTCCAAGAATGATAGACTAGATTAAGAAAATGTGGCACATATACACCATGGAATACTATGCAGCCATAAAAAATGATGAGTTCATATCCTTTGTAGGGACATGGATGAAATTGGAAATCATCATTCTCAGTAAACTATCACAAGGACAAAAAACCAAACACCACATGTTCTCACTCACAGATGGGAATTGAACAATGAGAACACATGGACACAGGAAGGGGAACTTCACACTCTGGGGACTGTTGTGGGGTGGTGGGAGGGGGTAGGGATAGCATTAGGAGATATACCTAATGCTAAATGACGAGTTAATGGGTGCAGCACACCAGCATGGCACATGTATATATATGTAACTAACCTGCACATTGTGCACATGTACCCTAAAACTTAAAGTATAATAATAATAAAAAAAGTTTATCATTTTCCCCACTGAATTACCATGACATCTTTATAAAAATAAATTGAGACTATATGTGCAGTTCATTTATCTGTTCATATTATCTGTTCAATTTCACTGATCTTTGCACCTATCTTTATAGCAATACTACATTTAATTAAGTGCTTTTAAGTTAAAATAAGTTTTGGAATCAGGTAACATATTCTATCTTTATTCTTCTTTTGTAAAAATCATTTTTATTATTCTAAGTCTTTTGAATTTCCAAATAAATTGTAGAATAAACTTGTTTATCCCTGCAGGTGTACACACACACACACACACACACACACACACACACACACGGCCTGATTGAACTTGCACTGAATTTAAAAGAGAGTTTGGTTAGAACTGTCTTTTTTTTTCTTGTCTTCTCTTAAACTTGTATTTTAGGTTTGTTACACAGGTAAACACGTGTCATGGAGGTTTGTTGTACATATTATTTCTTATTTTTTTTTTCTTTCTTTGAGACAGAATCTTGTTCTATCACCCAGGCTGGAGTGCAGTGGCACAATCTCGGCTCACTGCAACCTCTGCCTCTTGATTTCAAGTGATTCTCCTGCCTCAGCCTCCTGAGTAGCTGGGATTACAGGCATACACCACCATGCCCAGCTCATTTTTTTATTTTTAGTAGAGATGGGGTTTCACCATGTTGCCCAGGCTGGTCTTGAACTCCTGACCTCAGGTGTTCTGCCCACCTTGGCCTCCCAAAGTGCTGGAATTACAGGTGTGAGTCACCGTGCCTGGTCTGTACATATTATTTCATCACCCAGGTATTAAGCCCAGTACCCAATAGTTATCTTTTCAGCTCCCCTCCTTTCTCTCACCCTCCCCAGCTCAAGCAGACCCCAGGGTCTGTTGTTTCCTTTGTGTTCATAAGTTCTCATCATTTAGCTCCCACTTATAAGTGAGAACATGTGGTATTTGGTTTCCTATTCCTGCGTTAGTTTGTTGAGGATAATAGCCTCCAGCTCTGTCTATGTTCCCGCAGAAGACATGATCTCATTAATTTTTATGGCTACAAAGTATTCCGTGGTGTATATGTACCACATTTTCTTTATCCAATCTATCATTGATGGACATTTAGGTTGATTCTATGTCTTTGTGATACAGGAGTGCTGGGAAGGGAAGAGCGTGGTCCCTTTAAATGATATTGAATGGAAGAAGGGAAGTGCTGGGTAGAGAAAGGTGGGCCCCTTGGCTAGGGCTCCATCCCCACAGACCTAGGTGAGGACAGGCATTTCCTGCCCAAATGTTGCATTTCCCAAGACCACCCTGGCCTGCCATGCCTCCATCCTGGGCCTATAAAAACCCGAGAAAGCTGAACATGGTGAGAAACACATGGGCCCAAGAAGACACGAGTGGCTGGTCGTCGAGAGCCCGCCAGAGGTAGAGCACGAAGACAGGCACCGGCAGGCCAGCAGGCCATTGACCAGGGGAACAACTGGAGTTTGGCTGGAGTGGTCAGAGGAGAGTTGGGCCACCACGCGGCAGGACTTCAGGGGAAAACCATCTCCCTTCTGGCTCCCCCATCTGCTGTGAGCCACTTCTACTCAATAAAACCTTGTACTCATTCTCCAAGCCCATGTGTGATCCAGTTCTTCTGGTCCACCAAGGCAAGAAACCCCGGGATACAGAAATCCCTCTGTCCTTGTGATAAGAAAGGAGGTCTAATTGAGCTGGTTAACACAAGCCGCCTATAGATGGCAAGCTAAAAGAGTACCCTGGGTTGCCCACTGGGGCTTCAACTGTAAACAATTTATGCCTAGACACTGCGGTGGGGTCGGAGCCCCACACCCTCTGCCCTTTTGTATGCTCCCCTAGAGGTTTGAGCAGTGGGGCACTGACGAAGCGAGCCACACCCTCATCGCATGCCCTGCAAGGGGAACAAGGGAACATTTCCTGTTTCATTTGCTATTGTGAATAGTGCTGCAATGAACATTCACGTGCATGTATCTTTATGGAAGAATGATTTATATTCTTCTGGGTATATAATCAATAATGGAATGGCTGGGTCAAATGGTAATTCTGTTTTTAGCTCTTTGAAGAATCGCCATACTGCTGTCTACAATGGTTGAACTAACTGACACTCCCACCAACGTGTGTAAGTGTTCCCTTTTTCTTTGCAGCCTCTCCAGAATCTGTTATATTTTGACTTTTTTATAGTAGCCATTCTGACTGGTGTAAGATGACATCTCATTGTGGTTTTGATTTGCATTTCTCTAATAATCAGTGATACTGAGCTTTTTTTCATATGCTTGTTGACTGCACGTATGTCGTATTTTAAGAAGTGTCTGTCCATGTCCTTTGCCCACTTTTTAATGGTGTTGTTTTTCTCGCTTACAATTTTTTTTTTTTTTTTTGAGATAGAGTCTCTCTCTGTTGCCCAGGCTGGAGTGCAGTGGCACAATCTCTGCTGACTGCAACCTCCTCCTCCCGGGTTCAAGTGATTCTCCTGCCTCAGCTTCCTGAGTAGCTGGGATTACAGGCGCCCACCACCACGCCTGGCTAATTTTTGTATTTTTTAATAGAGATGGGGTTTCGCCATGTTGGTCAGGCTGGTCCCGGACTCCTGACCTCAAGTGATCCGCCCTCCTCAGCCTCCCAAAGAGCTGGGATTACAGGCGTGAGCCACCGTGCCCGGCCAACGATATGTATTTTGAGTCTTTCGATTCATGAACCTGATTGGTATGTTTTTCTATTAGACATTTGATTTCTCTCAACAAGGTTTTGTAGTTTTCAGTGCACATATCTGATAGATACTTTGTTATATTTATCCACAAGTATTTTATACATCATATTTTTGTTGATGGTTTGTATTTAACCTCAATTTACAACTGTTCATTATTAGAATATAGAATTACAGTTTTTTTGTGTGTACAACCTTGTCTTCTGCCTACTAAATTCAATTAGTTTTATTATTTTTTTGTGTGTAGATTCCTTAAGACTGTCTAAATATATAATTACATTGCCTAAAATAACTTTTTCTAGTCTGTATGTTTTTATTATCTTTTCTAGTGCCACTGTAAATACTGAGACTGCCAGGGTAATTTGATCCTGGTGTTTTGGAGAAAGCTTTCAGTCTTTACCATCATGTATGATGTTAGGTGTAGGTTTCACATATTTGCCCCTTATAAGTTTGAGTTAATATCCTTACATTATTACCAGTTTTTCTTTTTTTCTTTTCTTTTCTTTTTTTTTTTAGACGGAGTCTCACTCTGTCCCCAGACTGGAGTGCAGTGGCGTGATCTCGGCTCACTGCAACCTCTGCCTCCCAGGTTCAAGCGATTCTCCTGCCTCAGCCTCCCGAGTAGCTGGGACTACAGGCATGCGCAACCATGCCTGGCTAATTTTTGTATTTTTAGGAGAGACGGGGTTTTACCGTGTTGGCCAGGATGGTCTCCATCTCCTGACCTCGTGATCCACTCGTCTGGGCCTCCCAAAGTGCTAGGATGACAGGCGTGAGCCACCGCGCCCTGCCATCATTACCAGTTTTTAAAGAATGTTTACATTTATGAGGGTTGAAAATTTTGTCAATGTTACTTCTGCATCCATTGAAATAATCATATCTTTTTTATTATTTATGTGTTCATATGAGGAACTGCATTAATCTATTTTTGAATATTGAATATTCCATTTCTGGGGAAAAAAAACACACATATGGTCATGATGTATAATCATATATATATATAAAATCACTTAATTGTTTTAAGAATGTTTGCATTTATGTTGATGAGTACTAGTCTCTAGTTTTCTTATGTTTTTTGCTTTATTATTAAGGATAATGTTGGTTTCAAGGAATGAGTTTAAAAGTCGTCCTGCCTCATCTATTATTTGTGATAAATAGTAGAGAATTTGTTATATTTCTTCTTTAAATTGTTTTAGTATTTACTAGTGTTCTTTACTAGTGATTTATTTGTAGTGAGAATTTTAATTACAGGTTCTTAAGCTTTGAGAAATACTGGTTGTTCAGAGGATCTAGTTATGATTGGAACAGTTTTGTAATTTTTTATTTTTGAAGAATTCATAAATTTTGTGTTGTTTATATGCTGGCTTAACCTTTTTGTAACATTCTCTCATTGACTGTAATTGAGTCTAGTGTTTTCAATGATGTTCATCCCTAATAAATCTGGCTAGAGTTGTATCCATTATATTGACCATTACAAAATAGCTTTTGATTTCATTGATTTTTCTATTATTTGTCCAGTTTATATTTTATTAATTTCTGCTCTTATGTTTATAATCATTCTTTTACTTTGTTTTTTAATTGTTTTTATTTTTCTAGTTTCCTATAGTAGAGCTTAGATCAATATTCATAAGTGATATTTACCTATTTTTTTGTGCTATCTTCGTCGTTTAATGTAGCAAATTTATATTTTGTCTATAAAATGAATTTGGAATTTTTTGTAATGGTCTGAAGTTATTTAGAAGTAATACTACCTCTTCCTCAAACATTTGTTGAATGTCTCTGTAGAACCATCTAGTACTAGTGCTTTTCAATGAAGTATCTGCTGTATAACTTTCTATATTTCCATGTATTTGGAAATTGGTCTTCTTAATCCTCTGTTGTGATTTATTTTGGAAAAGTATATTTGCCTAGGAAGTTATTTTGTTCATCTAGGTTTTCATATTTGTATAGTAGTATACCAAGTAGTAATGTATGATTTTTAAAATTTCTTATGTGTGGATATTTTTCATTTTTTTTAGTTTTTTATATTGGTGCTCTCTCTCCCGTTATTAATCAAATTAGTTACTCATTTGTCTTCTTTGTTCAGAAACCATGATTTCATTTATAATATGATCAGCTACTTTTCTATTATTTGCTTTTTTTGTTCTCTAACATGTATTATTTTCTTTATGGTGTTTTCTTTTTAATCACTTTTTTTTCTAGCATTTTTAGTTAGGAATCTAAGGTCACCACTTAAAATGTGTGACATTAGTTCTGTATTTTTTTCATCATTATTTTCAGAAATTCCTATTTTTCATTTTAAAGTTAAAATTGACTCTATTTCAACTTATTTTTTCCTTTCATTGAATCAACTCTGATTGTATTTAATCCCTTTTTTCAATATTTGATCCAAATCCACTCTTAATTTTTGAATTTTTGTATTCCATTTTTGTTTAACATTTGTTTTTGCTTGTTTGAGGATTTAGAAAGGTGTGTCACAATTGCCTTCCATTTTGAAGTTCTTTTGTTGTGAAAAACTTTATAATCAGTTTATTTTTATTCTCGCTATACTTAATACAGCAGCTTTATACAAAGTTAGTCTGAGGTTTTTCTACTTCTTGGTGTTTCATGAAGTCTTTCTAATTTAAGAGCACATACCTTGTTTGCTCCTTTTAGTAAATGTAGTTTCTTTAATGGTGAGATCACTAATAGTGGTGGTGGGGAAAAAAGAGTGGTTAGAATATCTTACAGTTTTTCCTTAGTCTAGCAGGGCTTCATTTTTCCCCTCTTAAATGTCTTTTTTTCTCGTCATTGTCTTGTCTCCAATGGGTATTCTTTTCTTTATATATCTCTTCTTCTACCAGAAGCAATGATTCTCTAAGGGTGCCACTTGTGATTTACATCCCTTTTATGTAGCTACTAGGTTGGTGCAAAAGTAATCGCGGTCTGGGACCATTAATTTTAAATCATTATAGCTAGGCTCAAATGCATCTTTATTAATCAAAGTGAGAACCTTTACAATCAACACATTTTTCATCAATGAGAAATAAGTTTGTTTATTTCTGTAGCATAAAAATCCATGCTTCAGGCTTCGACGAACTCTTGGAAAGCATTTTCAGCATCCTGCTGGTTGTGGAAGGGTTTTCCCTGTCAAGATGGCTGAAGATGCTAGCAGGTTGGTAAGAGGTCACGTGAATATGGCAGATGAGGCAAAACTTCATAGCCCAATCCGTTCAATGTTTGAAGGGTCGGTTGTGAGATGTGCAGTTGGGTGTTATCGTGGAGAATTGGGCCCTCTCTGCTGACCAATGCCGGCTGCAGACATTGCAGTTTTTGGTGCACCTCATTGATTTGCTGAGCATACTTCTCAGAGGTAATGCTTTCACTGGGATTCAGAAAGCTGTAGTGGATCAAACCAGCAATAGACCACGAAACAGTGACTGTGACCTTTTTTTTGGTGCAACTTTGGCTTTGGAGAGTGCTTTGGAGCTTCTTGTTCGAACCACTGAGCTGGTCATTGCCGGTTGTTGTATAAAATCTAATTTTCTTTTCTCTTTTTATCTTTATTTTTTAGTTCTGGGGGACTTGGGCACGATGTGCAGGTTTCTTACACAGTTTGTTACATAGGTAAACGTGTGCCATGGTGGTTTGCACCTATCAACCCATCACCTAGGTATTAAGCCCAGCATGCATTAGCTCTTTGCCCTAATCCTCTCCCTCATATCCCGCCCTCCCAAAATCCACTTTTCCTCCCATGTCTGTCTGATTGAGAAATGGTTCGTTGTTATTGAGTGGAATAAGAGAAAACGGCGCTTCAAAACAACATTTTTTTTTTTTTAATTTTCACTCAGCTCATGAGACACTCATTTATCAAGCTTTTTCACCGTTCCAATTTGCTTCAAATGCCGAACGAACATAGAATGGTGGACATTGAGTCCTTGGGCAATTTCTTGTGTAGTTGTAAAAGGATCAGCTTTGATGATTGCTCTCAATTGGTCATTGTCAACCTTCGATGGCAGCCACTACACTCCTCTTCAAGGCTCTCGTCTCCTTTGCAAAACTTCTTGAACCACCACTGTACTGTAAGTTTGTTAGCAGTTCCTGGGCCAAATGCATTGTTGGTGTTGCATATTGTCTCCACTGCTTTATGACCCCTTTTGAACTCAAATAAGAAAATCGCTCAAAATTACTTTTTGTCTAACATCATTTCCATAGTCTAAAATAAATATAAAATAAACAGCAAGTAATAAGTCATTAGCAAAAAAAAGCAAGAAATGCGCATTAAAATGATGTATAACATAACCACATTTATTTAAGAATGTATTCCAATATCAAATGGCAAAAACTGCAATTACGTTTGCACCAACCTAACAGCATTGTGAACTATGAAGTCCCAGATGTGTGTCCAAGTGTTTGGAAGTTAGTTTTAGCCTTTCTGTTGGTGACTTTACCTGTACTTTGTCTAAGTCCTTCATTCCCCTTGCCTCTTTTGCAGAGTCTCTAAGACCCTTCTCTGTCATTCTTTGCACCCACAGGATGCACTGCCGAAATTTTGTGTTTCTTTCTCTGTAAATAATTTTAATTGCTAAAATCTTTGCATCCTGCTGTTGCTAAACTGTAAAGCATATGCATTTTTATTTCATATTTCTTTTTTTATTTTATTTATATTATGCATATCTGGGAAGACATGGAGAAATTCAGATTTAGGCAGCTGCTATTATCCCAGGGCAACCCTATTTATTCTTGGAGTAATTCAGCAGTGCTAAATGGTGGGATAATAGTGCAATCATAAAAGTGCAAAAGCTATCATGATTGATGATATACCTTGTTCCAAATAATATTATAAGAACTTTGCCTATTTTCTCCACTTAATTCTTACAATATTCTATAATAGACATCATTTATCTTTTCATTTTAAAGATGAGTAAACTAAGATTTCAATGGTAAATGACAGACCTAATATGTCAATGAAGCTCTACTTTTCTACAATGTCAATGTTCCTTTGACGACATTTCAATGTACAGATAAAGTTATTAGTTTAGCTATGTAAATGGCTTGAACAAGCTTCTTAAATGATCTGTTTCTCAACTTTCTGAAAATAATAGTCAAATTATAAATACTGAATTTCCCCTCTTTGGTTGTTTAAAGGAATAAATTGATATAAATCACCTAGTTTGTTGCCCAGTAAACCATAGACACTTAAAGAATTGCAGCTTTCAATTACTCAGCCACTGGACCTAAGTTAGAATGCAGTGATCTGTGCCATGTGCTAAGCACTGGGATAAAGTGTGATGTGCCCATTGTCTGTGGTAGGTTGGGAAAAATGTACCAAACGGAATCAAAGACAAAGACAGGGAGAGTGTTAGAACAAGTAACCTAACTAAAAGGGTGGGTTTGAGAGATACAATTGCAACAAACCTAGGAAAATCAAACAAGAATGAGGATCACAAGCATAAGGTAGAAACTGTAGAATAGTTGCTTCTGCCTTTGTGTGACAAAACCTGGAAGTCAATGTTCAGGAGTCCTATTTGGTTCCATTACTAAGGAGTGACTAAGAAATTTTCCTCTTTTATTTTTATTTTTCAATTTAACTTGATGAATGTATATAACTTCAGTTAAGGGACCTCATAGGTTTTGGGAATTTCATTTAATATGTTCACCATGGCAATAATTCAATGCCACATCACATGTTAACAATCCATGAAAGCCAATGTGATTTGTATTCCTTTTAGATAACTAGTTTAATTCATAGCTTATAATTTTTAAAGATAGAGGGCTACTTTTGGCAGTTTAATTTTAAAACTATATTATGTGCATCTTTTACGATAAACACTAAACTAGAATTGGGTACACACTGTGCATTTGTAGAAATTCAATTTTGTAATCAAGTTTCTAATTAAAGAAAACTTCTAAGAAGAGCTTATAAGAAATTAAGGTTTTGAAAAATACCATTTAATGGACTATTCAAATCTCACATTAATAAGCGTAGTGAGCTTTTAAATACATATTATCTATGTTCCTGCACATGCCCATCTTGATCATTCCAATTAAATGTAATTAAACTGAATAATGTATATAGCTCGGTACCATCTGCCAATTCCTGATGTTGATTCACAAGTTCTTAACATATCCTGAATAAAATCCAGAGGTTGGTAAAGTCAGAAGAGTACTAAAGTCAGCAAAACAAGGGTCAAATCCTGGCATTCCACTTCCTCCCTTAATGAAAAAGGCAATTCACTTAATCTCTTTGATCTTTTCCATCTTATTAAAAATAATGATACTAACAAGAATCCCATGCTATTGTGAGACTCAAAAACAAAATACGCATCATGAAAGCTGGGTGAAGCATAATTTTAATAATTTATTTGAATATGCATACATGATTTCATCAAGGTATTTGCAAAAAAAAAAAAAAAAGCTACATGCACTGACCTCATGTTTCTAATTTTAAAAGTTTCTTATGGGTTTAAATGCATCTTCCAAAATTCCTATGTTAAGTCCCAATTCCCAGTACCTCAAATACCTAAGTATATTTGGAGATAGGGTCTTTAAAAAAGGTTACTGAGTTAAAATGAAACATTGAAAGTGGGGCCCTAATCCAATATGATTGATACCCTTATAAGAAGAGAGAGAGACAACAGGGGCTCATTTGCACAGAGGAACAATCATGTTTGTTGCAAAAAGCAAGCAACAAAAAACAGAGCTATAGTTGTAAGATCAATACCTGTTTATATATCTTTACTTATGTAAAACTGTTATCCCGACTAATAAGGCTTACCAGTACTCTCTGTGACTAGCTTTCCTTTAGTCCAGCTTTCCCAGAAAAATCCCTGTAGTTGTTCATTAAAAGTTGCATTAAAGGGTGAATCACGCCATCACTATAACTAGAAGCTCTTGCCTTAACTGAACACTGACCTGATGTAAAGTTCATATGTGCACCTGGGAAAAAAACTAATGGAGAGAAAGCTGACTTGCAAGCAACAAAAGCACATTTTTTTTTTCCTGTCTCTCATCACCTGTTCGAAATCATGTGAGAGATTGCAACACACTACAAAAGGTAAAGGCAATGCCCTCTTTTTGAGATATATTTGTTCACTACAATGCTTTTTAGCATCTGATTTCACTGTGGCTTTCCTGTGCCCGTGATTTTTTATACAATCTTTCACCATCTCCGAATCTGCAAGACTTTAAGTTCTAACAGGTTATAAGCATGGCTAGGTAAAATTAATTATTAACTCTTTTACTTTTTCTGGCTCCTCCGTCAGCTATCTAGTGCTTTTCCTAAGAAGACCTCATAATACTCATTTTATACATTAAACTATCTTGGGTAGTCATTCAAAGGTATTCACTTTGATAACAGAGCAATTTCATTTTGTTTTTATTTTAAATTTTTCATAGAATGGCAAACCTCAAAAATAACATAAAACTATTTTTCTAAAACCTAAGGCTTAAAATTTAATAAGTTGTTGGCATGAATAGATTCTATATGAGGCTACGTACAAAGCACTCTTTTTTAAAAATCTCTCATTGACACACTGCAAAGACTCAGATTCAAGAACGACTCAAGAAACAGTTTCATATTGCATACTAGACACACATACACACACACTCACTCACCAACACACACATACACACCCCCACCACCACCATCATTGCCACAGACCACAAAACCTCTTCATTTATGGTACTGCCATGTCTTAGGGCTCCACACTCAAATCCCAGCACCTCCTTATCATCCTTTCTAACTTTGCTGTAGATTCCATTCATAATGTTTATTACCGCCATTTCTCAAACTCTTGATTCCATGTCTTCCAGGCCTGTCACCTGAATGGTGAACGGCTTTTTCCTTTTAATCTTTCTAATTCTTTAACATCCTGAAAATAACTATGGATATTTTTTGTTCATTTTGTTTAAAAGAAATTTTATGATAATGTGAAAACAAGGTTGATAAATTTTAACAAACATTGAGGACCTAAAAGGCTCATAAAAGCCAGGTGTGGCGGTTCACTCCTGTAATCCCAGCACTTTGGGAGGCCAAGGCAGGCGGATGACCTGAGGTCAGGAGTTCGAGATCAGCCTGACCAATATGGAGAAACCCCCGTCTCTACTAAAAATAAAGTTAGCTGAGCGTGGTGGCACATGCCTGCATTCCCAGCTACTCAGGAGGCTGAGGCAGGAAAATCATTTGAACCCGGGAGGCAGAGGTTGCGGAGAGCCGAGATTGCACCATTGCACTCCAGCCTGGGCAACAAGAGCAAAACTCCCTTTCAAAAAAAGCTCATAAAAGTATGACAGTCCTGTCTGTGACAACTTGGCTAAGTTAGTACTTGTCTAAATGGATCCACTGCAGTGGTTTTGAAAGCACATTAATCTCAGCTGAAATTGCATTTCTGAGAAGCTCTGTTCTTTCTCCTTCATTCTAAGTTAATATTAGCCAAAAATAAAGAAAGAGGAAAAGAAAAAGGAAGAAAGTTGTATGAGATTTGAGATGTGTAAATGAAGCAATAGACACTAGACTTGGAATGCATCATTTTTAGAGGCAATGAGATGTGCCAGTAGTTTCCAGTTTGTCCTAGTTTTTGCCTTTGCCATGTTCAATTTTTCTTACCAACTTTTGTGCATTGTGGCCAACAGCAATGCAAAGCACATGTTCAAATGCTTGGATGTGAAATTATGGAGGCTTTCACTATGAAGAGGTTGCAATTGCCTATAGAATTAGGTGACCAAAAAAATGCTGCAGCAGTGAAAATAATGACATAATTGAATATATGGCATATAATAGATTACTTCCAATTAGGTACACTGAAGAACTTGGAGAAATTAAATGAAAGCATAAGGCTTTTAATTCTCCTCAGACTTTGGTAAGGATCCAAAAGCTTCTATAACTGCCCTGAAAGAAACCATTGTCTGATATTGCAACAGAAGTGACTTTCTAAAGACTAAATACAAACTCCAGTCACAAACTTCTACAGGTCGTTGAATTATTCCACAAATTATATTCATAATCTTGCAGAGGATAATGTACAAGCTAAGGTATTGACTGGGAACAAGCCCTGGAAACTTGCTATAATAGAGTCATTTGGGCAATTTTTAAAATACATTCTTTTATTCTGTTGATATATAATGTTTTATGTATTTATGGAGTACGTGTATTTTTTACATGCATAGAGTGTGTTATGATCAAGTCAGTGTATCTATCTCTTTCAGTAATTATCATTTCTATGTGTTGATAACATTTCAAGCTTAGGACTCTGAACCCTTCCATTGTGTTGACCCTCCTTTGCTAGTACAGGCAACCCTTTCTCTGGATGTGAAAAAGTTAGGAAGTGCTTTTTGAACGAAGACATTCAATGGCTTCTGCTAAGTGAATTGTCCTCTATGGGCTGCTGTTCTTTCCGATCAGCACTTCCCATATCACTTCCCCATTGCTTCCAAGCTGGAAAAAAGTGTTAGACAGCACTGATACCTATAGTAATGTGGAAAATTAAAAAAAATACCCAACTGAATTAAGAATTTGGGTAAGAAAATATCTAGGCAGAATTTTGAAAGTGTCAACTGGTTTCTATGAGGTGTCTAGCTATCACCTGCCTGTCATCTGATATAGGGAAATAAACTAATAAGAAACACTTCAGTTTTCAGTAGAAACTAGAAAATACATTTCCAAGTAAGGACCTGCTGGGTTTGAGAATAAAACTATTTCACACATATCTCAACAAAAGAAATAATCTAAGGCAAAATATCAAAGTCATAGTAGCTCTGCCGGTAAAATATGGTATCAGGTTTAATATCCCAAAGGTGTGGCTGTAGTGCTCTTTTGTAAGACCTCAGAAAGATTTAAGATGGTGCTTCATAAATCCTCTCAGCTAGAGACAAATTTTTTAAGGAATTTTATGAGCATGGCCTTAGACCCTCTCTTCTAGATAAAAGAGCTTCTAAAAGTCTTTAAAGTGTTATCCTTTAGCAACTTGACCCTTAGCTCAAGATAGAGAGACTTCTCTCAGATAGATTGGTGGGCACGGCTTCTCTTTAATGAAGTGAATTATAATTTGATACACAGAAAGTTTGAAATCCTTCAAAGAAATGTATACAGCTTGAAAATGAGGGCAGAAAGTTCAGAATGCAGAGAAATCTTTGAGCCTCCAACTTTCTATAGGCAGGAACCAGCCTAGGAAACTAAATGGACCTTTTTTTTTTTAATGGAAAATGGAAGTTTAGAGCCCAGTAGGCAGCGCTTTGTTGAGGAGAACCAGGGAATAAAACTGGAGACCAATCAATGGAACAGTGGCAATTGTCACCCTGGCTGGATTTTAGCATTGCAGTGGACCAGGCTCTGCTATATTCCTCTCATTTTTACATCTCACTTGTTGTTATTGTTTATTCAGTTCTCCTGTACTTGTTTCATAATTTTATGTTGTGTATTCAGGGGACAGATAACTTGTCATTCTAGTTCATAAGTCTTCAGATCAGGAGGAGCTCTAACTACCCAGGAAACCTCATTTACACCTTGAACTCATTTATATAAAAATGTACTACTCTTGGTGGAAAATGTAAATTAGTACAGCCATTATGGAAAACAATATGAAAGTTTCTCAAAAGGATAAAGTTAGAACTACCACGTGATCTAGCAATCGCACTTCTGGGTACGTATGAAATCAGTATGTTGAAAGTATATGTGCAATTCCATGTTCATTACAGCATTAGTCACAAGATATATAATCAACCTAAGTGTCCATCAACAGACGAATGGATCAAAAGGTATATATATATATACACACACATACATATACACACGCATACACACACACACACTCAGACTCTATTCATCCTTAAAAAGGAAGGAACTCCTGTCATTTATGACAACTTGGATAAAACTGGAAAACATTATGCCAAGTGAAATAAGCCAGGCACAGAAAGACAAATATTATGTGACCTCACTTATATGTGGAATTTAAAATGTTGAACTCATAGAAGTAGAAATTAGAATGAGAGTTACCCGAGGCTGGAGGTGGGGAAAAGAAAGTAATGGGGAGTTGGTCAAAGGGTACAAAGTTTGTTAGACAGGAAAAATAAGTTTTGAGGTCCATTGCACGTGGTGACTATAGTCAATAAGACTGCATTGTGCTTTTCAAAATAACTAAGAGAGTAAATTTCAAATGTCTCATCACAAAAAATAATAAGGTGATGGACATATTAATTAGCTTGATTGAATAATTTCACATTGTATACATATAACAATGCATCACATTGTACCCCATAAATGTATACAATTATAATTTGTCAATTAAAAACTATATTAATAAATTAAAGTAAATAAATGAAGATGTTCTGAGCTTCTTGACTGAGCCTGATGCCACAGTAGAATGAGGCATGTGGGGTTCTTGGGTCTGAATATTTTTTATCTGAGCAGGTTAGGAATCTCTGGGGACTAAAAGGTGAACTGTGGTAGCTAATCTCCAAAAATGATCTGTGGCTTGCAGTGACCACTAGAATATGGTGGAATTGGCATAATGCCAGTCTTTGCCTTTAAGAGGACTAGCAGCTTCTGTTTCATCTGTCTTGGGTCTTTTGATTTTGGAAACTTACTGTCCATATGCAAAGTCTAGCTACCCTACTAGAGACACCATGTGCGAAGGCCCATGCAAACAACATGTGAAAAGTAGAGGTACTGCAATTATCTAGGAGGAGAGACCCAAACATTTCAGTGTCTCATTTGAGCCCCAAGATAACGACATCATCAGCTGAAGCCTATAGGCAACTGTTTAAAAGACTTCAAGTGAGGCCACCAAAAGAACTGACCAAGCTGATCCTATCAAACAACAGAATCCTGATAGATGATGAAATGAATGATGTATTAAGCCACTAAGTTTAACGGTAGGTGGTTATACAAAAATAGATAATATGGTTTTTTCTCACTTCTTATCTGCTGAGATGATAAATGAAGTTCCTGAATTTATATTTTATTTTTGAAGTTACATCAACACCCTTCCCTGACCCTAAATCAACCTAGATATTATACAGTTATGAGCCTCATAGTGATGATGTTTCACTCAGCTGTGGAATATATATATATATATGTATATACACATATATATGTATATGGAATATATAGATATGTGTGTGTGTATACATATATATATATATATAGATATATTCTTTTTATTTTCTTTTTAGAGACAGGGTCTTGCTCTGTCACCTAGTCTGGAGTGCAGTGGGGCAATCATGGTTCACTGCAGTCTCAAACTCCTGAGCTCAAGCAATCCTCTGCCTCAGCCTTTCGAGCAGTTAAAACTACAAGCACACAACACCTTGCCTGGATAATTTTTAAAATTTTTTTGTGGAGATGAGATTTCACTATGTTGCCAAGGCTGGTTTTGAACTCCTGGCCTCAAGCTATCCTCCCACTTTGGTGTCCCAAAGTGCTGAAATTGTAGGCATGAGCCATTAAGCCCAAGCAGAAAATATTTTTAAAGAGCTATAAAATGTGTGTGTGTTTTAAGCTAAATGTTATTTCAAAAGGGTCGAAAGCTAAAAAAATTAAAAAGTTTAGAAAGTAAAAAAAGTTACAATACGTAAAGGTTAATATATTCGTGAAGAATACATTCGTGTTTTTTATAGAGTAGCCCAAGTGAACAGTGGTTAAATAGTCCAGACTAGTATACACTCATGCCCTTGACCTTCACTTTCATTTGCCACCCACTCACTGACTTACCCAGAACGACTTCCAGTCTTGCAAGCTCCATTTATGTATGTTCCTACAGAGGTGTACTATTTTTTATCTTTTATACTGTAGTTTTACTGTGTAATTTGGCATTGTGTTACAATTGCTTGCAGAATTCAGTACAGTAACATGCTATACAGGTTTGTAGCCCGGGAGAAACAGGCTATAATATACAGCCTAGGTGTGTAGTAGGTTATATCATCTGGGTTTATTTACATATACTCTATGATGTTTGAATAATGAAAAAACTGCCTAACAATATGTTTCTCAGAATATGTCCCCAGTGTTAAGTGATGCATGACTGTATATCATTTTCTCTATGGTGGTGAACATTTTCAGGATTAAAGTAAAATTCAAACATGAATAATGCTTCTTACTTCCACGGGATATTTTGAACCTCAGAGACACAAGCCTGGATGAGCCAGGTCATTAGGTCAAAGATTTGCTCTGAGTTGCTCTGAGATCATCACCCTTGGCTATACTGTGTAAAAGGGTAATGATAACATTGTGATGTGATTTCTTGAACATAAAGAACTTTTCTTTCTTATCCTATCAAAAAATATTTTTAGTATACATTATTTTAAAGTTTGAAATATTTGGAACATTTCAGAGCTTTTAATGAATCTGGTTAAAATTTTCTTCCAAAATATTGTGTTATTAATGTTAAATATTAAAACAGGGATGGCAAATAGGTGTTACTTTATTTCTTCTTTACCTCCATATGTATAACAGACATTGTTAACTAACCATGCTATTATTTTCTGTTTAGCTTAGACCTCACTTTAGAAACCCTCACAACACATTTATCAGAGTAACTACTATTAGTAGATTAGATTTGGCATTGTAATTAAAAATTAATTTGCCATTCTTAAAGTAGAGGTATTTCCACTGATATCAGCAATTAGAAAATTATGCCTGTTGATATGGTTTGGCTCTGTGTCCACACCCAAATTGATGTGAATTGTAATTCCCAATGTTGGAAGAGGAATCTGGTGGGAGATGATTGGATCACGGGGACGGATTTTCCCCTTGCTGTTCTCATTATGGTGACTGAGTTCTCACGAGATCTAGTTGTTCAAAAGTGTGTAGCACTTTCCCTTTTGCTCTTTCTCTCCTGCCACCATGTGCTTACTTCCTTTTTGCCCTCCCACCATCATCATAAGTTTGCTGATGCCTTCCTAGCCATGCCCCCTGTACTGCCTGCAGAACTGTGAGTCAATTAAACCTCTTTTCTTCATAAATTACCCAGTCTCGGGTAGTTCTTTATAGCAATGTAAGAATGGACTAATACACTTTCACAACAGTATTATTTCATACTGTTTTTGAAACTTCAGCAAATACCACAGAGTGAAAATAAAGAGACAAGGAAGTAAGGAAACTAAAGAATCTATAGTAAGCAACAATACTATTGTCTCCATTATGCTCTGATACCTTGAGAAAGAATGAAATTTGAGCAGAAAGTTTAATTACAAGGCATTGTAAAAATAAATCTTTAGATGTCAATAGTTTTCTTTGCTACTTTAGTAAAAATAAGCATATTCTAATGATTTTAATATATAATAACATTAGCAAGATATGGATAGGAACCAAAGAAGAAATATTTAAAATTTTACTCCAATATACAGAAGAAAAATGGAACGAAGTAAAAACATATTAAGTATGCTTATATGATGACCACATAGCACAAAAATAGCAATGCTCTCAAATTAATTTGCTCTACTAATGTGATTATAGTAAAATAATAATGACTATTATTTGGGGTACCTAATATGTAATCCTAATTATTTTTTAGAATAATCATGAATTCTTGGTGTTTTAACAAACTACATTTATTAAGATATTTTAATACAGACATAGGAATAGTCAGGCAGAGAACAACGCAGAATAGAAAACCTAAAACCAGACCGACGGGTGATAAATATGTCAATTCATATTTGTAAGGAAAGTGTGGGTTATTTGATAGCTGGCACAGGAATAATTGGTTAAGTATTGCGAAAATAATCTTATATTTATACCTGGAATTCCATACTAAAATAATTCTAATTAAATAATATATATTTTAAAAACCAACACAAAATCATAAAATGTAAAAAGGAACATATAAGGAAATTTATAGATAATTTTATGAGTAAAAACAGAGACAAATTTACTTATACGTTAAGCACATTTCATTAAGTCTGTCAGCTCACAACTCTCTTTTCTCTTGTAAGGGCCTTTCTGGACTGAGTTCACAGACATAGTAACTTAGCCACTTTTTTAAAGAATGATATATTCCTCAAGAGATATGTTTTCAAGGGATCAGTTTCTAGAAAACTGCTTGGCAAACATAGGCAATGATAAATATTTGCCGATTAATGCCACACGAAGCAAGACCGTGGATATTCTCCCAGGAATGGGAAAAGTTAATTCAGAGCCTGTTGATCACTTCCTTCTTATAGCTAGAAAATGCAAAGACGATGAAGAGGCCAAAAACTGCCCAGAAAACTCGAGACATTTCATCCTCAAAGGTAAAGAAAATGCCAAGAGAAAATTCAGAACTAGAGGTTTAAATATCCAAATATGGAGAAATTACTTTAAAAAGTATAGTGTATTCATTAAATATATTACTGTTCATTCAATAAAGAGCATATTCCCAAAAAAATTGAAGAGCAAAGTGGAAAAAAATATCCATTGTGTAAAAAAAATCTAAGGACTAAAGAACAATGCACAACTGTTTATTTTATGATTGATTTAGTAATGAGAGTCCAATAAAAACCCTGGTAAGTTATTGAATCAGAAGCAGTCTTCAGTCAGATAGGTGAAAAAGTAACTTATACTTAGAAATATAAACTTTTAATTTACAAGCATACACACACACACGCATACAACTTTGAAACCACACTGAAGCCACATACTGATTCATTAATTATAATAGGATGTCATGTCTTTTTCAAAAACCAAGCCTTTATTTGAAAACAAAAATGTAATGGCTATCATACATGGCTAAGTTTTTTCTTTGATTTTGCTGATTAGAATCCCATATCATTTCCCCATATAAAATACAATCATAATACATATCCTATAACATAGAGTTTGATATTTAAAACATAACATTAAATTAAAGATACTTGCAAAGCATAGAGAAATCACCTAGATCTTTATGGATGTTCTCCTTAACCGTTTCCTAAAATTAATGCTCTAAGTTTTCATACAAACCTTTTTTTAGAACATTTCATTGAACTTTTATAAAAACCATTCCTTCTTTTCAGGGGCATATTTTACTTTTTTACATAATAGCTAATTAAACTATGTACTTGTATCAGGAAGTATAATTTTTTAAAAGGTACCTCTTACTCTATGAACAAACATAGCTAACTTTGGAACATAGTCAACTTGTGGAACAGAAGTATTCAGTTTAGTGGAGAGTAGCGCACTAGCCATGAGTATTCAGTGTTTAGCATACTAGTCTTCAAGAGGAGTAGCTGATAGTATTGAGGCAGGAAACTCACAGGATTTGTTTTCTGGTCACAACCCTGCTGACCAAAATGGGATCTGGTTTTAGGAAGGATAGAGTGAAGAGACCCACAGGAACCAGCAGATGGTTAAAAAAAAAAAAGAAGAAAAAAAGCCATCCCTAGCTGTCCTCATTACTCATTAGCATAAGACACCCCCACCAGCTCCATGACAGTTTACAAATTCTATAGCAGTGACCCAGAAGTTACCACCTCCTTCCACGGCAATAACCAGGAAGTCACCACTAACCTTCTAAATATCTGCCTACCAACTCCTTTTTCTGCTAAAATTTTCTATTCTGTTAGAGAACACAGATTATGATGAACTATTCAGCAAGGAAGTTTCTTCTTATTCCTCATAGCTAACTGCTAGTCGGACCCTATGAGGGTAACTTTCCTGGAAAGTTCTAAACAAACTACCCCTTGATTTGCATTGGCCTGACCCTTAATTTGCATGCAGTTGAAAGTGAGTTTATGTGAATATAAATACAGTTGCTAAGAGCCCATACTTTGCAGATATTCGGCACACTGCCTATGCGTTAGCTCTGTTCTTCAAGGAGCGGTACCATTCAATGAAATATTGCTATCACCATGGGCTCATGCTCGAATTCTTTTCTGGGTGAAGCAGAGAACACTCCCTGGCTAAACTCCAATTTTGAGGCTTGCCTGCCCTGCGTCAATATCAGGTAACTTCTCTACTAGTTAGGTACGGATCTATCAGGAGAAATATAACGCTATAAAGCCAAAGCCATTTGTCTGTTTCTTGCCCTCCAAATGCACACTGTTCAGGAATGCAGACTTAAATGTATGTAACAATAGGTTTCTGAATAAACTATAAACTCGGTAGAGTATAAGCAAGAAATTCCCTCACGAATAGTTATAAGGTAGGAGAATAGGGTCTACAGGCAGGGAACCTAAGGCCGGCTCATGCTGACTGGATATCAGAGGCTGCTCCCTTTTCAAATTCTCCTTTAGCTGGGTCAGTTGCTGCCAGGCAATTGAAAAATCACAGTAACTCTGATTGCTTCCCTCCTGCAACCAATCAGACTGGTTGTGGGCCTCCTCTCCCCTCTGGCAACCAATCAGACTGGTCGCAGGCCACTAGAGTGAACCAATGGAAAACCTCTAGGGGTTATTTAAGCACCAGAAAGTCTGTAACTCATGCTCTTGAGCCCCTTGCTGGAGGCCACACGCACCATGTGGTGTGTACTCTCATTTAAAATAAATCTCTGCTTTGAGTGCCTTGCTTCTGCATATCGTCCAATTCTTCGTTCTAAACAACAAGAACCTGGACAACTACCCTCAACCAGTAACAGTTTCTTAAAATTTTATATCGTATAAATACTGTACATATGGAAAATGTGTAGAACCTAATTGCACATTTCACTAATATTATAAAATGAAAGCTATGTAATGATCCCCTGGCTCAAGAAATTACTTTCACAACCTTACCAATGCAATGCCTCCCTCCCCACAAAGTTTACCACTGTCCTGATCTTCATGATCATTTGGGCTTTCTTTTTTTAACTACTTTTCACAACTTTTTATTATAAGTTTTTAATTTTGAATAACATAATGTACTTTTTCCTGTTTTTAACATAAACATGGAATTAGTGTATCTTCCTTTAATCATTACATATGTTAGACCCGAATGGCTATATGCAGTGTAGTAGTACTATAACATCTTGGCTTCTTTTTTTTTTTTTTTTTTTTTTTTTTTTTTTTTTTTTTTGAGATGGAATTTCACTCTTTTTGCCTAGGCTGGAGTGCAATGGCGCAATCTCAGCTCACTGCAACCTTCGCCTCCTGGGTTCAAGTGATTCTCCTGCCCCAGCCTCTCAAGTAGCTGGGATTACAGGCATGCTCCACCACACCTGGCTAATTTTGTATTTTTAGTAGAGAAGGGATTTCATCATGTTGGCCAGGCTGGTCTCGAACTCCTAACCTCAGGTTATCTGCTCACCTCAGCCTTGCCGGGATTATAGACAGCCAATGCACCGGGCTGGCATTCTCTTTAGAATATGCATATACTTATGGACTATTATTTTCAGATATAGAGCTATGGTATAAACATGAAACGAGAAGTCTCCTTCAAATTGTTGGTTTTATTTACATTTTGAGACATGTTCAAATACATATAAAGAGACATATTAGCTAAATAAAACAAATTTTAAGATGATTCTGTGAGTGTCCTCATCTTCCCATTTCAACTATTTGTTCATTAAACTTATGAAATTTAACTAATATTTCTTATGCACAGCAACACATTACTTCAATAATAGAAAAGAAGAATATCATGTGGCTAATAAATAACTAATTATTTAAATAATCAATGTAAGGTCTAGAAATTTTTTAAAAACTCATTGATATTACCAGTATTAATGTAACTCTCTGAATTTGTATGCTCAGGAGTATTCATATCTCAAACTATTTTCAAGGTTTTACTTTATAACTAACAGTTTACATATCTACACACTAAAAACATGATTACTCTTAGTAAACATAAATGTATTTCAACTACAAGATTAAAATTTTACAAATGTCAAAATATAGATAAAATCATAACCCTCAATATTGGTAATTTCTACAATATGTATAGATGTTTACAATTCTTATTTGTTTTACATATTAGAGACTTTTTAAAACTATGCAACATTAATGTGAACTATTTAACATGATTTATTTGCCTAAGGATTTTATTAACCAAGCTTGACTTTAACCTTTACCTAATTAGAAAATACTTAAATGATCGAACTTTATTGGTGTGACAAGCATTTATAAATCTGAGTTTAAGACACACCAAGCTTCCACATAGATTGCTGAACTTTATTGCAGAGATGAAATTTTTAACTAAATACAAACTACTGAAAATGTTTGTGCAAGTGTATGCCTATCAATATTTATTAGTTTTTTTGAAACAGAAGGGTTTCTCTATTAATAGACTACCTCTGTAGCAATAGAAACCAGACTCATATATTGAGTCAAGTTATGCAAATGGAATCAAAACATGTATCTTAAAGTTTGTCTGTGAACTATTTAGCCACATTCTTTATTTCTTGATAACTTGTTATAGGTTTGTATAGGTGAAATTGGAAATTTGGGATTGGAGCTGGAGCAATTTAGCATTAATTCTGAATTCCATAATTAAAAACTGATATTAACCTAAAAAGTTAAGTTAAAAATGCATTATGATGACTTATGAAACAGCTTAATGCAGTACAAAAGTGGCAGGTTTAGCATCTTTAATTTCAAAACTGAAGTCCTGAAGAACGTTAAAGTCACTTGAGTTTCACCGCACTCATGGCTTTAATTCTCAAATGTACATTACAGACCAACCCCTGCGTTTCTCATGAAGCAAGATAAAAGAGTGCCTTGTCAGTTATTTTGTAAAAATGATTATAATTACTTCAAAATATAATGCCTCCTTAGGAAGTAAATTTTAAAGTAATTGTAACCTAACACATCTTAAGTTATTATTTTTACTAAATCTGAGAAATATAAATAATTTTGCGTGGTTAAGTCACATGGAACTATTATATCTGTTAAGAATATTTTCTTATTAAAGTCTAATTGATCATTTTGAGAAATTATAGTAGGGAGATTGTGGCTAGTTATTGCCACACTGCACAAATACATAGCCAGCCAAAATGAAGTACTAAATTCACATTAGTAAAATTATATCAAAATTCATCTCAAAGTGATAAGAAAATTCATGAAAAAATGGCGCACCTACATATAAATAAATTATAGGAAAATTACACCCAGGATTAAAATAAATGAGAGTTTTAACCTTTTGGCATTGTTGAGTTTTACAGTAGAGAGATGCCTCACTATTCAACTGAAACCTATTTTTTTTCAAATTTTTCAGTATCTTAATTCTACATTCCATAAAACTTATACTAAAGGTACACATACCTTACCCACTCTTCTTCAACACCAGTTAGTTCATCATTCTGTACATTTTAACATATTCTCCAAAGAAGAATATTGTTTAAAATGTCAAAAATTCAGAAAACCCTATAATCTGACAGTATGGGACCATGAAACGCTATGATACTAATTCTACTAATTATTAAATTAGAAACATGTTCATGATGCATTGCCAATTTAAAAATTTAGGTTTACATAATCAGAGGAGTATGTTAACTATTATTCTAATTTGGGAATATGTTACTATGTGTTAGGATGTACATAGTAAAAGATATGAGTATACAAACATTACAGGGTTAACAATGGATATTTTTGTGATAAAATTTTATTTTACTCTTGATAAGTTTCCCTATTGTTGATTTGTCACTAATATGTATTAATTTTAGAATAAAAACATAAAGGTATCTTCATTTTTAAAAATTTCTGGAGTTTTTTATTATAATTTCTGGTATGTTGATTCGAACATTTTAAGCTCTGTCACACATGCACATAAATGTTCTTTATATAAATAAAAGTAATGTCTAATATACGGCTTCAATTCCACTAGCTTTCAGATTTTATTAAGGAGCATTTAAAAATTTTTGAATCTGCATTTTCAATATGGTACATGAATTTTTTCTTTCTTAATTTTAATTTATTTACCCACTTATTTTGAATTATTTTTATCTTTCCCTCCACAAAACTCATTCATTTTTGTTATTCTATGACTTCTACTCTCATGAGAAAAAAATAAATTTCCTGTATTTAATTTGTAAATAATTTTCCTATAGTCTCCCATTTTTTTCTAGCATAAATCGATTCTATGGGAAAAGCTTAGAGTTGATGTTGCTAACTCTGAGAGTCTATACATTTTTAAATTGGTTGAGTTAATAAAACAAAATCAGAAACCCCATACTTATGAGGTCAAAATTATCAGTATGATAAACGTGCAAATATCTATGGTTAATGTACAAGTGAACATATATTCTGACAGTAAACGTGTAAAACAAGCCATTGTATCAAATACAGCCTTGAAGTAAGGAGTTATATTTTATAAAGGATAAATAATAAAAAGCCTAAATAAAATTCAAGAAGAAAGCTTCTGGCAGACAGACAGAAAATTCCATTTTATAGTCTAGAGTGGTAAATCATACATTGCCCTAAACTAAGGTGTTTTTTTTTTTTTTTGAGTCTTGCTCTCTCACCAGGCTGGAGTGCAGTGGTACAATTTCGGCTCACTGCTACCTCCGCCTCCCAGGTTCTAGTGATTCTCCTGCCTCAGCCTCCCGAGTAGCTGGGACTACAGGCACGTGCCACCGTGCCTGGCTCATTTTTGTATTTTTAGTAGAGATGGGGTGTCATCATGTTGGCCAGGCTGGTCTTGAACTCCTGACCTCAGGTGATCCACCTGCCTCGGCCTCCCAAAGTGCTGGGATTACAGGCATGAGCAACGGCGCCTGGCCTAAATTGAGTTTTATAATACTTCATCTGGATTGCCTTTGTAATAAGCATTTGTAAGTTTGTTATTTATCTTCCATATTTGGCTCAATATTTCTGTTCATTGTTGTTATTGCTATTTTTTCCTAAAAGACATTTGTGACAAAAATCTCTCAAATTATTCTCAATAAATATTGTTGATTCTTGTGGCCCACAGTTTGAGCTACAGTTTTAACAAAGAAAATTTATGTATAAGGTGTAAGGAAGGGATCCAGTTTCAGCTTTCTACATATGGCTAGCCAGTTTTCCCAGCACCATTTATTAAATAGGGAATCCTTTCCCCATTGCTTATTTTTCTCAGGTTTGTCAAAGATCAGATAGTTGTAGACATGTGGCGTTATTTCTGAGGGCTCTGTTCTATTCCATTGGTCTATATCTCTGTTTTGGTACCAGTACCATGCTGTTTTGGTTACTGTAGCCTTGTAGTATAGTTTGAAGTCAGGTAGCGTGATGCCTCCAGCTTTGTTCTTTTGGCTTAGGATTGACTTGGCAATGCGGGCTCCTTTTTGGTTCCATATGAACTTTAAAGTAGTTTTTTCCAATTGTGTGAAGAAAGGCATTGGTAGCTTAATGGGGATGGCATTGAATCTATAAATTACCGTGGGCAGTATGGCCATTTTCACGATATTGATTCTTCCTACCCATAAGCATGCAATGTTCTTCCATTTGTTTGTATCCTCTTTTATTTCATTGAGCAGTGGTTTGTAGTTCTCGTTGAAGAGGTCCTTCACGTCCCTTGTAAGTTGGATTCTTAGGTATTTTATTCTCTTTGAAGCAATTGTGAATGGGAATTCACTCATGATTTGGCTCTCTGTTTGTCTGTTATTGGTGTATAAGGATGCTTCTGATTTTTGTACATTGATTTTGTATCCTGAGACTTTGCTGAAGTTGCTTATCAGCTTAAGGAGATTTTGGGCTTAATTCAAGATGGATTAAAGACTTAAACATTAGACCTAAAACCATAAAAGCCCTAGAAGAAAACCTAGGCATTACCATTCAGGACATAGTCATGGGCAAGGACTTCATGTCTAAAACACCAAAAGCAATGGCAACAAAAGCCAACATTGACAAATGGGATCTAATTAAACTAAAGAGCTTCTGCACAGCAAAAGAAACTACCATCAGAGTGAACAGGCAACCTACAAAATGGGAGAAAATTTTCGCAACCTACTCATCTGATAAAGGGCTAATATCCAGAATCTACAATGAACTCAAACAAATTTACAAGAAAAAAACAACCCCATCAAAAAGTGGGCGAAGGACATGAACAGACACTTCTCAAAAGAAGACATTTGTGCAGCCAAAAAACACATGAAAAAATGCTCACCATCACTGGCCATCAGAGAAATGCAAATCAAAACCACAATGATACACCATCTCACACTAGTTAGAATGGCAATCATTAAAAAGTCAGGAAACAACAGGTGCTGGAGAGGATGTGGAGAAATAGGAACACTTTTACACTGTTGGTGGGACTGAAAGCTAGTTCAACCATTGTGGAAGTCAGTGTGGCGATTCTTCAGGGATCTAGAACTAGGAATACCATTTGACCCAGCCATCCCATTACTGGGTATATACCCAAAGGACTATAAATCATGCTGCTATAAAGACACATGCACACATATGTTTATTGAGGCACTATTCACAATAGCAAAGACTTGGAACCAAGCCAAATGTCCAACAATGATAGACTGGATTAAGAAAATGTGGCACATATACACCATGGAATACTATGCAGCCATAAAAAATGATGAGTTCATGCCCTTTGTAGGGACATGGATGAAACTGGAAATCATCATTCTCAGTAAACTATTGCAAGGACAAAAAATCAAACACCACATGTTCTCACTCATAGGTGGGAATTGAACAATGAGAACACATGGACACAGGAAGTGGAACATCACACTCTGGGGACTGTTGTGGGGTGGGGGAAGGCAGGAGGGATAGTGTTAGGAGATATACCTAATGCCAAATTACAAGTTGATGGGTGCAGCACACCAGCATGGCACATGTATACATATGTAACTAACCTACACATTGTGCACATGTACCCTAAAACTTAAAGTATAATAATAATAAAATAAAAAAATATAAATAAATTAAAAAAATAAAAAAATAAATTTTTTTTTTTTTGTAAAACAACAAAACAAAACAAAACAAAAGATTGAGGGTCAAGCATTAGTTGGTTGTACCAAGCAGAAGGAAGGCTATTTTTAATGAATTGCTCCTGAATAACTATAATTCACTATAGAACTGGAGGCAGGTAAAGAAAAATTGTTATATCTCTAATGCAAATATTGAGAGAGATTGTTGATACCTAGGTAATACATTTTAATAAAGTGACAACACTTTCTAATGAATTAGAAACATTTAAAATGATTGTATTTATGACTTCTGCTCTACTGCTAGGATTATTATGAATTGCATTAAAAATGTCTGTTAGAAAAATTTGTATCTAAAAATGCTAGCCTCTTTAAACCTGATGGAAAAAATGTAAAGCTTTTGGAGGATCTATAGAGACCCTCCTTAAAATTACTATATATGTATACACACTACCATGAATAATTGCTTCATAAAGCAGTTGATGGAAGTGTTTGTGATGTGTTGTATGCATTTGTGTATAACTCTGATGTGCTTATTTTATTGTTGCGTACAAGGCCTATAGTTGGAATATTATACAAATACGTCAAAATGCACAAAGTACTTAAAAATGGTGGGACAGATAGAGGAAATACACTGTTTTAATTATTTAAATCAAGATTACATTGAATTATCGGGATTCATTTCAGCAAAACTTTCCAATTTTATTTGAAATATGAAAGTTATTTTTGTAAGTTAAAGGTTGCAAAAAACAGTATGGACTTTTAACCTGTTCCTGAACTGCAATAAGAAACAGTTGGAAACATTAAGCTTAAAACAAAATTTAACTTATGAATTTATTTTTCATCATATCAGTATGTGGTATATTAGCTTTAGCAGCATGATATAACCTTATGAAAAATCTTATTATTAATAAGAGTTTGGGAAGTTATACCATGAATTGAAGAAGGTAGATCTTTCTTACAGAAGTTTTCACAATTTTTAAATCTCTAAATTGCAATAGATTTAAAATTTATAGTTGGTTCATATAAACAATTTTAATATAATTGAAAATTTAACAAGTGAAAATCAAATGTATTGCAAGGTAATATTTATATTAAATCAAATACCAATTGCTTCCATACACAAAAAATAACACTAAAAATTGATGAAGTTTCAATCACCAGAGACTCTGTAAAGTAGTATTTTAAATTGTATGCTTACTTGGCCTACAGTCTGGGTTAACTAAAAGTTCAATTTAACGTCGCTATATTATATTCCCTCTTTTAAGTCAAACAGTATGACATAACAGTAAAATAAGCTACTAAACTGTAAGAATTATTTTTGAGGAGAACAAATAAAATACAATTTGCTCTATGAAATAAATCAGTCATGGTAAAAGTAACAATGAAAGAAATAAGATGAAATGATACAAAAGTAAAAGCACAACATCTAGAATCAGTTTGATCTGGATTAAGTAAACTTTAATTTTTTATCCTTAAAATGATATAATAATATCTAACTAATGTGGCTATTATAAAGATTAAATTGGGTAATATTTTAGGTCTCTGGAATCTAATATTCAGCACATGAGATATATTATCTCTCAAACTTCTTCATATTCCAGTTTTCCTTTAAATACTACTACTACTAATAATGCATCTTAACATATACTGTGCTACTATACATCTTATACTACTATTACTACATATTACTTATATGATTGGCAGTATACAGCAAACACAGAGGAAAAGTGATTCTTTCCTATATATCACTCTAATGTCCTTAAGAAATGGTTACATCCATCCAACACTGTAAAATAAAACACCTGATATTCTGCATTACGATATATAAGAATATTGTTATATATACAGCCCTCATGATATGTCAGTCATATTACAGTGTACATGATAGATTATTTAATTTATGCCTTCCCCTTTGTTCCTAAATATAAACCCTTTTAGGGCTCTTGATCTCTAGCCCTACTCGCCTCCTCATTTCTGTTGCTACTCTCTGCTGCCCTACAGTTTTCTCTCTCTAGTTTCTGGCTTCCAATTTACCTTTGTCATTGATTCTTATTACAGCATTTTCAATGACCTCAAGAACCTAGAATATTCATACCTGAGTCTCTGGCTTTCTTTCAACTCTAATGAGCTTCACTTCTAATCTACTTAAACCACCTACTTCTACAGATTACTTAGTAAACTATCATTACATTGAAGATTTTCACCTATGAACTCTTTAATTCCAAATTCCTATATCCTACTATCTCACATCCTAATCTTTCAACTTTCTGTTATTGTCTCTACATATTCTTTAAGTCTATTGAAGAACTCTTTTGTTTGCAAAATCACACAAACAAAAACAGTTTTGTAATCTTTTTTAAAAATTTCTATATACTGCATCTTCGATGAAATATTTTCTGGATTTTATGATGGACAATTTTCTAGGTGATCCAGGCTGTTTGTTGGTTTTTGTTTTAAAATTCACTCCTCATTAAATAAACAAAGATGTTATGAGTCACAGCTGCCCAAAAGCAAGAGAAATGAGATTCTTTGCCAACATCACAGTGCACCTCATTACCATTAGACTCTACTCAATGTAGGTTGAATTAAATTGTTAATATAAATTTGCATTACTCTCTCAGTGTTGTGCTAAAATAAAAAGAGTTGGAAGAGAGTTGGAGCTATAGGTTGTCTTATCAGAAGATGTTTGACAAGAGTTCTTTGATGAATCTTTTGTTGTGTGCACTGTATGAGAGCTCATTTTGCATATCCTGGGTTTTTTGCATATCCCAGGTACCACAACAGTTGCAAGTTGTGTCTGTACCCGGCTTCCTATCCACTGTAATAGGATGGTGGTACTGCCACATCAAGGACAAAGTAGTTGCTGCTGCTGCTTTAGGTTACCTGCTGCTGCATTACATTTAGCCTTCTAGGAAAAATAGAGTGTTCCTTATATGGACTGTGCTTGCCACCTCCTCCAGTCCTTACTCCTTACAATTTGGGGGCTATTAGTGAGGTTTTGTGTATCCACATTTTCTCTCTATCGTTTTTAGGAGAAATTGCTACAAATCAGCAGATTCCCTACTTTATTGCTTCCTTCAAGTAGAAGATTCTGCCACACAGATCAACAGCTTTTCAAGTTTCAGGGTCCCTGGGGGGTCCCCTTTAATTCTTAAATTTCAGTTACTCACTTCAGTAGTGATAGTGGGGCAGGAGGAATGGATTACTTCCCCATTAATATTATATATAGAAGTCTCAAGTATTTTTAAGGTTCCTCAAAATTATCTCCAAAGATAACTTTATACTTATCTCCAATCTTCATAATTGTCTTTACTTTCGGTTGTCCAATACATTCATAAACAGAGGTCTATTTTTATGTATATGAAGACACAGTATATTAGTCCATTTTCACACTGCTATAAAGAACTACCTGAGACTGGGCAATTTATAAAGAAAGGAGGTTTACTTGACTCACTCATAGTTCTGCATGGCTGGGGAGACCTCAGGAAGATTACAATCATAGAAGAAGGCAAAAGAGAAACAAGCGCCTTCTTCACAAGGTGGCAGGGGTGGGGGGTGGGGAAAGTGCCACACTTTTGAACCATCAGGACTTATGACAATCCACTCACTATCACGAGAACAGGAAGGAGTAAACCTCCCCCATGATCCAGTCACGTCCCACAAGGTCCCTCCTTTGACATGTAGGGATTACAATTTGAGATGTGATGGGTGGGGACACAGAGCCAAACCATGTCATTCTGCCTCTGGCCCCTCACAAAAAAGAGTTTCCTTCAAGTTGCCCTTTTCAAATTTGAAAACCAATCACGCCTTCCCAACAGTCCCCCAAAATCTTAACTCATTCCAGCATTAACTCAAAAGTAAAAGCGCAAAGTCTCATCTGAGACAAGGGAAGTCCCTTCTACCTATGAGCCTGTAAAATAAAAAGCAAGTTATTACCAAGATACAATGAAGGTACAGGCATTGGGTAAATGCTTCCATTCCAAATGGGAGAACTTGGCCAAAACAAAGGGGCTACAAGGCCCCATGCAATTCCAAAACCCAACAGGGCAGTCACTATATCTTAAAACTCCAAAATAATGTCCTTTGACACCATGTCTTAAATCCAGGGCATGCTGATCTAAGAGGTGGGCTCTCAAGGGCTTGGGCAGCTCTACACCTGTGGCTCTGCAGGGTACAGCCCCTGCGCCTGCTTTCATAGGCTGGTGTTGAGTGCCTGCAGCTTTTCCAGGTTCATGGTGGAAGCTGTTAGTGGATCTACCATACTGCAGTCTAGAGGATGGTATTCCTCTATAGCTCCACTAGGCAGTGCTCCAGATGGGGGTCCCACCCTACATTTCCCCACTGCACTGCCCTAGTAGAGGTTCTCCATGAGGGCTCTGTCCTTGCAGCAGACTTCTGCTTGGATATTCAGGCATTTTCACGCATCCTCTGACATCTATCTGGAGGTTCCCAAACCCTAACTTTTGTCTTCTCTGCACCCACAGGCTCAACACCACGTGGAAGCTGCCAGTGCTTGGGGCTTGCACCCTCTGAAGCCACAGCCCTAGCTGTACCTTGGCCCCTTTTAGTCATAGCTGGAGCTGGAGTGACTGGGATGCAGGACACCATGTTCCAAGGCTCCACAGAGTAGCAGGTCCCTGGGCCTGGCCCATGAAACCATTTTCCCGTCCTGGGCTCCAGGCCTGTGATGGGAGGGACTGCAGTCAAGATCTCTGAAATGCCCTGGAGACATTTCCCACATTGTCTTGGCTATTAACATTTGGCTCTTTGTTACTTATTCACATTTCTCCAACTGGATTGAATTTCTTCTGAGAAAATGGGTTTTTCTTATCTATACGTGGTCAGGCTGCAAACTTTCCAAACTTTTATGCTCTGCTTCCATTTTAAACATAAACTCCAATATCAGATATCTTTCTGTGAATGCATATTACTATATATTTTAGAAACAGTCAGGGCACATCTTCAATGCTTTACTGCTTAGAAATTTCTTCTACCACATACCCTAAATCATCTCTCTCAAGTTCAGAGTTCCTCAGACCACTAGGGCATGGGAAAATGTTACCAGTCTCTTTGCAAAAGCATAAAAGAGTGACCTTTACTCCAGTTTCCATTAAGTTTCTCATCTTTATCTGAGACGACCTCAGCCTGGACTTCATTGTCCATATTGTGTCTGAAATTGGTGGGTTCTTGGTCTCACTGACTTCAAGAATGAAGCTGCAGACCCTCACGGTGAGTATTACACTTCTTGAAGATAGTGTGTCCAGAGTTTTTTCCTTCTGATGTTCAGACCTGTTCGGAGTTTCTTCCTTCTGGTGGGTTCATGGTCTCGCTGGCTTCAGGAGTGAAGCTGCAGACCTTCACGGTGAGTGTTACAGCTCATAAAGGTAGTGCAGACCCAAAGAGTGAGCAGCAGCAAGATTTATTGCAAAGAGCGAAAGAACAAACTACCACAGGGTGGAAGGGGACCAGAGTGGGTTCCCGCTGCTGGCTCCAGCAGCCTGCTTTTATTCCCTTATTTGGCCCCACCCATATCCTGCTGATTGGTCCATTTTACAGAGAACTGATTGGTCTGTTTTGACAGGGTGCTGATTGGTGCGTTTACAAACCTTGAGCTAGACAGAGGGTGCTGATTGGTGCCTTTACAAACCTTGAGCTAGACATAGAATGCTGATTGGTGTATTTTACAATCCTTTAGCTAGACATGAAAGTTCTCCAAGTCCCTACCAGATTAGCTAGATACAGAGTGCTGATTGCTGCATCCACGAACCCCGAGATAGACAGAGTGCTGATTGGTGCATATACAATCCTCCAGCTAGACATAAAAGTTCTCCAAGACCTCACCAGACTCAGGAGCCCAGCTATCTTCACCTAGTGGATCCCCTGCAGGGGCCATGGGCGGAGCTGCCTGCCAGTCCCACACTGCATGCCTGCACTCCTGTTGATGGGACCGGGCACCATGAAGCAGGGGGCGGCACCTATCAGGGAGGCTCAGGCCACACAGAAGCCCACGGGTGGCTGCATGTCCCAAGCCCTGCCCGGCAGGGAGGTGGCAGAGGCCTGGTGAGAATTCAAGCGTGACACAGGCGGTCCAGCAGTGCTGGGGGATCTGGCGCACCCTCTGCAGCTGCTGGCCAGGGTGCTAAGCCCCTCACTTCCCGGGGCTGGTGGCACTGGCCAGCCGCTCCCAGTGTGGGGCCGACGAGCCTGTGCCCACCCAGAACTCGCGTTGGCCTGTGTGTGCCACGCGCAGCCTCGGTTCCTGTCCGCGCCTCTCCCTCCACACCTCCCCGCAAGCAGAGAGAGGCGGCTCCAGCCGTGGCCAGCCCAGAGAGGGGCTGCCATAGTGCAGCGGCGGGCTGAAGGGCTCCTCAATTACGGCCAGAGTGGGCACCGAGGCCGAGAGGGCGCCAAGAGCAAGCGAGGGCTGCCAGCATGCTGTCACCTCTCAATATCACTATCAGCATTTTGATCAAAACCATTCAACAAAACTCTAGGAAGTTCCAAACTTTCCCACATCTTCCTGTCTTCTTCTGAGCCCTCCAAACGTTTCCAATCTCTGTTAGTTACCCAATTCCAAAGTCTCTTCCACATTTTCACGTATCTTTATAGCACTGCCCCAAGCTCCAGGTACTAATTTTCTGTATTAGTCTGTTCTCATACTACCGTAAAGAGCTACCTGAGACTGGGTAATTTATAAAGAAGAGAGGTTTAATTGATTCACAGTCCTGCATGGCTGGGGAGGCTTCAGGAAACTTACAATCATGACAGAAGGCAAAGGAGAAGCAAGCACCTTCTTCACAAGGGGGCAGGAGAGAGAGAGAGAGGTTGGGGAAGTGCTGTAACTTTTAAACCATCATATTTTGTGAGAACTCACTAACATGAGAACAGCATGAGGGAAACCACCCCCATGATCCAATCACCTCCAACTAGGTCTTTTCCTTGACACGTGGGAATTACAATTCAAGATGAGATTTGGTTGAAAACACAGAACCAATCCATATCACATAGATCACCTGACAATACTGAGCTCCAGTTTTGTGAGTCGTACCCTTATTAGAAGTGGTATAATTTACACAACCTGTTGCCTCCATTAAACTCATTTATGAATATATACTCATAAAATTGAGTGGCACTGATTTCACAGATATTTCTAAGTGCATTTTCTATTTTTAGCAGCAACCATTATTGATTTTTTACATAATCCATGCTAAGATTATATGTATCTGTGTCTTTTGAGAGATTGTCAGCAATTGAATGAAAAATTTATATAAATGAGACAAAATCTTAAAACTGAAATATACACATAACCTTTATGGCTCTATTTGTGTGTGGTCATATGCATATCCATTATAAACATTGAATATTTTATCAAAGTCATGTCAAATTAGATGTGTTCTATTAATATTTATTATCATGTGCATCTGTCAGGATCTTAAAGGGAAATGAATGTCAAAATGCAATTGAATAATTTGAAGAGAGTATAATAAAGCATCTGTGCAGGGTATAGGAAAATCACAAAGATATTGCAGCAATTTGGGACTAGTAGCAGTGAGGTTATGCTATTAACCTTAGGCTTGAAAAGACAAGGGAGGGAGCAGAGGGGGGTGCGAAGGTAGCTTCCCGACAGGAATGCAGCCAGCCCTGAATAATCTGCAGGGAAGATGCCAGAGGTATATGTACCTTAACCTTCTCCCCCTTGTTGGCATTTCTGAGCACTGTTCTCCTTTGGCTATATCCAATAGGAAGCCACAGGGAAGGAGAACAAGCTGATGTAATCACTATAGGTCAGTTTCCTGGGAAGAGTTGGATGGAAAGAAAGAGACTTAATCTTGAGGGGCAAATGAAATACAGACAGCATATCATGTTTTTATTTAAGAAAATAGTAATATTCTTACTCTTGAGGAATCTAAAGCCATTTGATAATTATCATTTTAAACTTATGTGAAATATGGCAAAACAAAATAAAACTAAACACTAAAACTATATCACTCAGGGCTGGACAAATGTGATTTTTTTTTTTAACATGAAGCACCTACTCTCCCTATCTCCCACCCAAAAATAAAAATAACATCATTATACTAACATGTTAGAAGTGCATCCAGTATGCTATAAAACATTCCCGATTCATTCATTCAGTGGATCTTTTTTGAGCACTTTCTATGTGTCTAGAATTATGTTAGGTATTGAGATGTAAAGATGAGTAAGCCTAGGTCTCTAGGTTCATATATCTCAGTGATATCTCTTATTCTTACTCTTAGATTTTCTACGTCATCACCCTCCATTCCACAACAATTGATGTTATTTGTATGTATACTAGTTTGCATGCTTGATTCTTACATTGTATTTTTTCTTTGATTTTTATTTGACACATAGTAACTGTATATATTTATGGGATACAGAATGATATTTTGATCCATGATAAAATGTTTAATGGTCAATTAAGGGCAGTTATGCATCACCTCCAAGATTTATAATGCCTTTGTGTTATTAACATTCAAAATCGTCTCTTCTAATTATGTTGCATTTTTAATCTGCTTCTTTTCCAAATGGATTTGTATTGAGTATTCTCTTCTTAGCTGTTTCTGAAAATTAGACTGAGTAACAGGCGAAACAAATGTATGCGGTAGTCCAAGTATTCCAGGTAAAGCTGAGTATGTTGTCTTTTGAATAAAAAAGAATAAAGAGGCACAAGTCCGGATTTTACTGATCTATCAGTATAAGCTTCTCTCAGTCATCTCTTCTACCTGTTTTGCATTTATTTCTCAGACTGTGTTCACTGTTTATGGTCACTCTATTATGATCACCCTTTCTCTATGTTTGTTCTGATTATTTTCATTATTTTGATATTATTTTGTTATATATTTTGTTAATATCAATCACTCCTGCATGTGGCATTTTTTCAGATACCTGTATATAGTGGTCCCCAGAAAAAACAACATAAGCTGATGGATATGAGGATGTTTCTGGAGAGCAGTAATTAGATGGGAATTTTGGCTTTTTCTAAAATTACTCCTATAGACCTGTCTCTGTATGCAGGGGTACATAAATAGTTAAATTTTAATGATAGTGTCAGCAGGAGAGCTCCAGAAAACAGAGTCCATCATTTTGCCTTTTGTAAAGCCTAGGATGTGAATTGGGAAGATGAGCTCTAAGTCTTAGCATCTATAGTGATTTACCATTCTATTTATTATCCCTGCTGCCATGATTGACCACTGCCCATAGTGATCTTATCAACATTCCAAACTAAACATGTATATTCATGCATAATACCCTCTATTTCCTTCAATCTAAAATCTAGAGCAGCCACAGACAACCCCTCCAACTCATTCCTTGTTTGTTCCCAAATTTATGCACACTGATATACCAAATTAACTGGAAGTTCCTAAGAATTCCACCCCTGTTCATACCCTTATGAGTTTTCTTATGTTCTCTGCCTTAGCTAGAACATCTTATTCTCTACACCCAACCACCTAATGCCAACCTACACTTCATGAATGAGTTAAACCTTTCCTTTGCTGAATCTATTTTCTAAACAAATTGGGATAGCTTCTCCCTTTAATGTCCCCATTGTAATCTAAATGCATTTCTTCTTGCAGTAGTGTTTGTACCTTTTTCTCTTTGCATGGGTGTTTGTATCTCCCTTACTCTACCCTTTATATTATAATTTATACAATCTTATTCTTTTAGCTACCCATCTTTTAAAAGATAGGTAATATCTTTTTATTTTTATTGCTCTCATAAGACCTTGAAATTACTAGGAATTGAATAAATATTAGCTGAATAATTATATCTGCTAGAAAGTTTTCTGGAACCTCCAGAAAAAATGGTGTTAAAAATTATTAATAATTCTGCCTTCCCATCACCATTCATAGATAAATTATGTGCATTGTTTATATATTCCAGTTATTTTATTGAAAAATTACCTGAGGTAGGGAAAGCATGAATAATTTAGTTTCAGTTATTCTAGTGTATTCTGCCTTCTCAAGAAAGAAAATGCAAGAGAATGTAATAGAAACAAAGCAAACATCATTGGGAATTTTGTATTGATTCTTACTTTTATGTAATGTTATTAACATGACCATTTTATGGAGTTTATCTACTAATAAATCTAGTAATAGAATAATTATTTAAACAAAAATTTTCAGTTTTTTTTTCTAATTGTAAAAGTATAATTAAAGTAATAAATCAGTAGTTTTTTTTTTTTTAGCTATGAAATACCCTTATTTTCCTTGCTAGCACTTTCCAAACATTTCATACCTCTTGCTTAAATCAATAACACTAGATTTTAAAACTCATAGAATCTTCATTTCAGAAATATTTCCAGTTTACTTTTAAGAAATACAGTGATTGAAAAAATAGACCTGTATCTCCATCAATTTAAGGAGCACAGTTCTTGAAGTTAAAGCAAAGGACCTACTTTTATGAGTAATTTCCCTGTAGTTGATTCCTACACAATAGTGTTGAGCTAAATCACAATAGTGTTGAGCTAAAAATAGGTACATATAAGAAGTGATGCATAACTGTGTATGTTGAACTGTTTATATAATTGTTGAATATATTAAACATTGTTGAAATTTATATTATTAATTCCCACAATAATGAATAATACATTAACTCAGTAAAGCATGAGAAGTGTATGTAAACAATCTTAAATAATAAAACAGAAACAAAAGTAAATTTATTTTTTATGCAATGTTGAAATTGGAAACATGGAAAGGGAAGTCACAGAGTGGGAGTAAATATTCAAAGTCTTATTCAGAATAAATTATACAAAGACAACTAGAAACCAATACAAAACTACCAATCAATTAGAAAAGTAGAATTGGCATACAATTTAATAATTGGGTAAAACACTTGAATAGATGGTTTACAGAAGAGCGCATTCAAAAGAGCAACAAGCAGACACAAAAATGCTAAACTTCATTATGTGTCTAGGAAATACAGTTTAAAATCACAATGAAGTAAAACTACATATATACATAATGTTTTATACATCTAATCTTCAATGTGTATAGAATTACTGATGTATATATAAGTAAAACTAATTCATGTATACCCATAAAATGTGGACGTTTCAATATGTCAAAATTATACCTCAAAATAAAAAGAAAAATGCAAACATAAGGGTTTAGATCATTGGAGAAACAAAAAATGCACTGTGGATCTGGGACTCTCGTTTTAAGAAATTTTTCACTAATTTGTAAGGGATGAGCTACATACATTAAACTTTCCTTTCTTTTGTATGTTCTTCTGTTCCTCCCTTGTATTTTTCAGAAATTTTCCTCTCAAAGTCAGATAAACGTATGGGTACTGGTTGGGCATAGAATATAAAAAAGCAGAATGACCATTTAGCAGCAGATGCCTCTGAAGGAGGAAGTTAGGAAAAAAAGAAGGAAGGAGGAAGGGAGGGAGAAAATAAGAGAGAGGTAGAGAAGGAAGAGAAGAGGAAAAGGAGAGGGGGAGGGATGGAAAAGTAAACAGAATAGACAATTTAATTAGTTTTTTCTACTTTGAAAAGTCGATTTTAATGACTGCTTTGAGTTTGGATTCCATCATCTGTAATAAATATAGCTTGGACACAAAATCCGATACAGTTACATTTGTTTAGAGCAATTTTATATCTAAGTAATTGGCTCTTATTTAGATATTAATATATCAATAATATCATGTCTATGTTAATTCTAAGATTTCTTTCTTAATGTTTGATTTTGATATTTAAAATGTATGTGTATTTCATTAAAGAAAAATAGACTAAACTGCTTTAATGCCTAGTCTTTGTAGTTTATTTTCAAAAATACCGTTGAAAAAACGACCACAAATTTAAGTATATTTTAAGCATTATTACACAAATAAAAATAAAAAGCAATGTTTGACAGTTTTTAAAAGGTAAAAATATTACCTGAAGTAGCGCATTCTACATTTATATTCATGTACTCCCTGATAATTTATGATTATTCAGACACTAAAGCAAGAACTAACAACAAATTGGTCCACAGAAAAACCCTAACTTACACACCACTGAGTTTAGCTTCCGTGGTGAATATAAAAGAACAACAGCAACAATAACAACAACAGGAACAACCAGAAATCAAGAACCAAAGTATATACAGGCAAACCAGCATTATGCCACACAAGCACACATACATTTGAAACTATTAGGCATTCACTGTGACTGAAGTTTACTTTGAAATGTAATGAGTATCATCAACTACTCTATTGTCAACTTAAAAAAATTATAACTAGCTATGTAACTGTTTTATGAGATTGCAGGATGCTCATATTGAGGTTGCCTTGCTTTCAAATCGTCCCAATTATTCTTAGTCTTTCATTAATATTATACCACCTGCTCCAAATGGCTAGCCTTTCTTTTCCTCTATCTTCTTGCTGTAAAATTAATGAAAAACATGTCTTCTGCAAATCAACCTAAATGGCCATCAATGATAGATTGGATGAAGAATATGTGATATGGATACACCATGGAATACTATGCAGCCATAAAAAGGAATGAGATCATGTCCTTTGCAGGGACATGGATGGAGCTGGAAGCCATTATCCTTAGCAAGCTAACACAGGAACAGAAAACCAAACACCGCATGCTCCCACTTATAATTGGAGCTGAACAATGAGAACACATGGACACAGGGAGGGGGACAACACACAATGGGGCCTGTTGGGAAGGTGGAGCAGGGGGAGAGAGAGCATCAGGATAAATAGCTAATGGATGGTGGGCTTAATATCTAGGTGATGGGTTGATAGGTGCAGCAAACCACCATGGCACACATCTACCTATGTAACAAACCTGGACATCCTGTGCGTGTACCCCGGCATGTAGAACAAAATTAAATACAAAATAACAACAACAAAACATGTCTTCTCTGTGTTTCAGAATACAGATACACATTGACTAGCAATCTAGATAAACATCACAAATTTAAATTATTCTAAGCCAAAAATGCATTTAATACACCTAACCTATCAAACCCCATAGCTTGGCCTAACCTACTTTAAATGTGCTCAGAATACTTACATTTGTCTCCATTTGGGCAAAACCACCTGTAGACTCATCTTGGGATCCCATGACTGACTGGGAGCTGTGGCTCACGACTGCTGCCCAACATCACAACAGAGTATCATGCTCCATATCACTAGCCCAAGAAAAGATCAAAAATCAAAATTATAAGTAAAGTTTTTACTGAATAAATATTGCTTTTGTACCATCATAAAGTTGAAAATTTATCATTATGTCAGGGACCATCTGTCTACTGTAGACCACTGGTGTGAGTCCCATCCTTCCAGACACTATTCATATTAATTCATGGCACCTTACATTGTTATTATGGAAAGTAGACTGTTTACAGATTTCTGACAATATTCTCCTTTTCACTACACTCTCCCTCTTTGTTTTTACATTTGAATCTATTATGATCGCAGCCCAAATTGCTTAGTTTAAAGCCTCTCAACCCTTCAAACTGTCATCTTTCAAGTCTCACAGGATGGATCTTTTTCTGGAACTATTGAATTACTGCCTATTTCGGGATGACTTATTTGACCCAGGCTCTTCTTATATCATCAGTACAAAGCTAATTTGTTGATTTTTCTGAGGGGATCTGTCATTTCTACTTAACCTACTTTATCCATCTTGATTTGAATTAGACTCAACGTAGGAATATCTCTACTGGATTCTTCTATCCTCAGGAAAATATCTTTATTTTTACAAATTATCTGTGCTTTTTGTTTTCTTTTTTCTCCCACATACCTGGTAATAAATTCCAACTTATGCGCCATGGTGCTAATTTTCCAATACAGAAACTTTGCCATTATTATTCCTCACCTACCACATTTTAATACTTTTGCAGCTGCAAAAATTTATCTCCTTTACCAGAATTAGGTTCACACGAAGGCAGAAACTCCATATTATTGGCTTTTTATTCCAATGTTGAGAAAAGCACTTTGTGCACCACTATAAATTAAAACAGTAAGACACTGTCCATAATGCAACTTCATCATGTGTAGTGATGGCGACTATTTGTGATCTCTACGATTACTGCAAAATAGAAAGTTATTAAAAATAACAGAGGCCAGGTGTGGTGGCTTACACCTATAATCCCAGCACTTTGGGAGGCCAAGGCAGGCAGATCCCCTGACATCAGGAGTTTGAGACCAGCCTGGCCAACATGGCAAAACCCTGTCTCTACTAAAAATACAAAAATTAGCTGGGCGTGGTGGCACGTGCCTGTAGTCCCAGGTACTTGGGAGACTGAGGCAGGAGAATCCACTTGAACCCGGGAAGTGGAGGTTGCAGTGAGCCTAGATCATGCCACTGCACTCTAGCCTGGGTGACAGAGTGAGACTCCAACTCCAAATAAATAAATAAATAAATAAAACAAAAATTAAAAATAATGGAAAAGGGACTGAAAAATTCGTTTCATATGGTAATCTAATTCTTTTAGGAAAAGGTATTTATTTCTGTATATTCTGGGTTGATACTGTTGAAAATTGTAAGTAATCTGATCAAGTGATATTGCACAGGTAAGCCTATGCACTATTGTGAGGTAAAACAGAAATGCTATGAAAAAAACTGAATTCAGGGCCGGGCACGGTGGCTCACACCTGTAATCCCAGCACTTTGGGAGGCCAACATGGGCTGATTACGAGGCCAGCAGATCGAGACCATCCTGGCTAACACGGTGAAACCCCATCTCTACTAAAAAAGAAAAAAAAAATGAATTCAGGGCACTTCCAGTTTCCATGTAAAAGCTTGGAATTTGTTGCTTCTGCGCTCATAATAAAAAAAAAAATAAGCTGAATCTGAAAATCAACAACCCTTCTTAGATCCATCAGAGAATTGAGGTCACAAAGCAAGCTGCTGTCCCCAAAGTTGTAGGGACAAGCAGTATAGAGAATCACAGTTTACTAAGAGCAGAAGCCCAGCAGTAGAGCCTGTACTAATAGAAACGTTGAGTTATGATTGACAAATTGAAGGAGGCTCAGTGTGGATGATCTCAAAATCACTAAGACTGAGTCTTGGGGAATGGGGCAAGAGGCACACTTTTATAAGGTTTACCTTGAAATCCACCAGGTTCTCAGAGAGAAGATTAGGAAAAAACAATCTCTTCATGCCTCTAGCATGGGGAGGTTAGAAGTAGTCATTGGGAAATGCAGAACATTGTATTCCCATTAACAAAAGCCTGCTCTCAAGAAAAATTATATTTGAAGAGCAAAGCTTGTAAGTTTTGATATTTATGCAAAGAGAATTCCCGGTAAACGTTGGGAGATGTATACTGTTTATTTTAAAATGTGAGAAGAAAGGTAGTTCGAGGGAAGAACTGTTAAGCAAGTAAGAACCAGAACTTAATTATTAGGGAAATTAGCCATTCAGATTCCAGATAATTACAGTCAGAAAAACAAGTTTTGGAGCGAATTTGAGAGACAACATTTTGCTAATGTTTCAGAAGTATGAAAAACAGAGTATTCAGTCACATCAATGTCTCTTTGAAGAGATTAACCATGTGACTTAGAGATTGTCATCCAAGCAGAAGCCAGGACTAGGGATTTGTCTAATAAAGTGAATCTTCTTGATATACCCCAGTGACTCACAGCGTGCTTGAGAATGTTATACAAACAAAGATGCTGCCAGTTTGAACTGAAAGCAACAGAAGGAGAATGAAATTTTAAAAAACCCCTTGGGTCCCTAAAATTCCACAGGCTGGAAAGCAGCTAGTAACACTACTTACATGCAAAAACATGCTACCTCTTATGAAAATGGATATATGATCCCCAAAGTTTCAGTCCCAGGCCTTAAAACCAAATACAGTGTGTCAGGGAAAATTTTGAAGTTGCTTTAAACAGGTGACTTCATTTATTGTTCCATTTTCTCCCTTTTTGACCAGAAATGTATGTTATTCTATGTTTGTTCCACCATTGTATTTTCTGAGCAGGTGAGTTGTTTCATTTCACAAGTCCCCAAAGCCTCACTCACACCTAACTTAGACGATATAGATAATGAGTTTTGGAACTGTTGTCTTGATGACCTTGTTTTACACCAAGTTGATGCAGTAATAGGTGGAGAATTTCAGGAACCACGGGTTGAGGTAAATATATTTTGCATGTAAAAAAGACATTGATCTTTGGGGGACTGAGGATAAACTGTAGTCAGCAGACCCCCAAAGATGCTCATGTCCTAATTTTTTGAACTTGTGAATATGTTACCTTTCTTGGAAAAGGAACATTAAGCTTGCAGGTAGAATTAAGGTTGCTAACAGCTGGCCTAAAAATGAGGAGACGATTCCTAGATTACCCAGATGGACCTAATGTAATCACAAGTGCACCTAAGAGTTAAAGGCAGGGGCAGAAGCGTTCATGGTTAGATAGGAAACGTGATTACAAAAGTGTTAATGAAAAACCCAAACTTTGAAAATAAAGAGGTTTATTCTGAGCCAATATGAGTGACCACAGCCTAGAAAAAAGGATAAACCCGAGAAGCCTTCAATAAGTGATCCTGAGGTAGTCAAAGTGCAGTTTGGTTTTATAGATTTTAGGGAGACAGGAATTGTAGGAAAAACTATAAATTAGTACATGGAAGATATACATTGATTCAGCCCCACAAGGTGGGATACCTTGAAGCAAGAGTTTACAGGTTGTAGGTGGAGTCACAGGTTCTTTAATTTGCAGTTTGTTCAAAGTGTTAAGCTTTGTCTAAAGGCTTGAAGTAAGTACAAAGGAATGCTTAAATGCTGGTCAGTTGTGCCTAAACTCCAAAAAGGAGTGGGTGTAACAAGACAAGTCCTACCTCCCTCCAGTCATGGCTGGACATTTAGTTTTTAAGGTTTTTCTTGGGTCCCTTTGGCCAAGAGGGGGTCCCTTCAGTCAGTTGGGGTGCTTAGGATTTTATTTTTAATTGAGTGAGTGAGATCAGAGTGTTGACATATGAGATGGACTCTCCTTGCCTTTATTAGCTTTGAAGACGGAGAAAGAGAGACATGACCCATGAAATACAGGATGTTTCTAGGATATAAAAATGTGTGGAAAAACTATCTCACCTAGAGCTAGAAAGAAACACAGCCCTGTTAAGCTCTTGAATTCATCCTAGTGTGACCTGTGTCAGACTTTGGACCTAAGAACTATAAGATAACATGTTTGCATTGTTTAAGCTAAATTTGATACAATTTAAATTTGAGGTAAGCTGGGCTGTTTATATAATTATATAAAATATAAATCTAGTTATATATAACATATATAAATTATATAATTTTATATATTTATCTTTTAATAATATAATTTATATATCATCTTCTTGTATAGTTGTTATCATTATCAAATTGACCTTTTTTTTAATCCCTGATAATATCCTTTGCTCTGAAGCCTGTCTTGTCTAAAATTAATTTAGCTAGTCTAGGTTTCTTTTGATTAGAGTTAGCATGGCACATCTTTCTCAATATTTTTTCTTTTAACATAGCTGATTCTTTAGAGTTTTATTTTGTTTTCCTTTTTGAGGACAACAGAAGTTGGGTCTTGTTTCTCCATTATGAGATTACCTTGCTTTTAATTGCTGTGTTTAGATTATTTACATTTAAAGTGATTAAAACATAGATTAATATCTACCACGCGTGTAACTGTTTTCCATTTGTTGCATTTGTTCTTGGTTTCTTATCTCCTCTTTTACAGCCTTCTCTGATTTTAACTGAGCATTTTCATATGGTTCTATTTTACCTTCTGTCTTTGTGTACCAAATATACTTCTTTTTAAAATATTGTAGTGGGGGACTTCTGCAGATCATGGTGGACGGGAGGCAGGACTAGATTGCAGCTCCAGATAGAGCAGCATAGAGAGGCTTGCATTGTGAATTTTAGCTCCAGATTGACTGCAAGAACAAACTACCAATTCTGAGAGGACCCACAGGCCCTCTGAAGGAAGCGGACTGCTCCTGCAGGACCCAGGAGACACCTCAAATACCGTGAGTGCCCCAACTGTGGAAGTGGGAAAGGGAGACCCTTCTTTCTCGAACAGGAACACACATCCCCAGTGGAGAAGCTGAAAGTGTCCGTTTGCAGGAGACGTTCCCGACTTTACCTGGAGCTGAGTCAAGATGGAGAGCCGAGCTGAGCAAAATACAAGGGGTGGAGGAGGCAGCAGGCAGGCCCTGGAAGCTCGCTGAATCCCCAGGCAGCCCATTCCTGCCTGGAACCACAGGAATCCATCAGGAGGGAGGCCAGAGGAGCATAAGGTAAAACCCCCAGGAGGAGAAGGACTTCCCTAGCTGAACTTTGTAACAACTTTGTAACAATTTGAGCGAGGCTAGAAGCCTCCTGGCCAGAACGTGGGGTAGGGTGTGAATCCAGCTTGCAGAATTCACAGGTGGGGAAAGAACTAAAGCCCTTTTCTTTCCCAGGTGGGAGGCGGAAAGCCTTGGGCAAATTTTCAAGCCCACCCTCCACCTGGAAACAGACTCGGTGCTGTTGTGGATGGCACAGTGGGAGTGAGACTAGCCCTTTGGTTTGCGTGGGAGTTGGGTGAGGCCTGTGGCTGCTGGCTTTTCCCCACTTCCGTGACAACCTGCATGACTCAGCAGAGACAGCCATAATCCTCCTAGGTACACAACTCTGGTGACAGAGGAATCTCACCCCCATCCCCATGGCAGCCACAGCAAGACCAGCCCAAGGAGAGTCTAAGCTCAGACACGCCTAGCCCCACTGCCACCTGATGGTCCTTCCCTATCTACCCTGGTAGCAGAAGACAGAGGATATATAATCTTGGGAGTTCTAGGGCCCCGCCCACCACCAGTCCCTCTTCACATTACTACAGCTGATGCTTTCTGGAAAGCGCCAACTCCTGGCAGGGGGTCAACCAGCACAAAAATAGAACATTAAACCAACAAAGCTAAGAATCCTCATGGAGCCCATTGAACCCTCTGCCACCTCCACCTGCACAGGCGCTAGTATCCGTGGCTGAGAGACCCATAGACAGTTCACATCACAGGACTCTGTACAGAAACTCCCAGCACCAGCCAGGAGCTGGGTAGCCTCGCTGAATGGCTAGACCCAGAAGAGAGACAACAATCACTGCAGTTCGGCTCACAGGAAGCCACAAACACAGGAAAAGGGGGTGAGTAGTACATAAAGGGAATACCTCGTGGGACAAAAAAATTCGAACAACAGCCTTCAGCCCTAGACCTTCCCTCTGAAAGAGACTGCCTAAATGGGAAGGAATCAGAAAACCAACCCTAGTAATATGACAAAACAAGGCTCATCAACACCCCTCAAAAATCACCCACAGTGGATCCAAACCAAGAAGAAATCCCTGGCTAATCTGAAAAATTATTCAGGAGGTTAGTTATTAAGCTTATCAGGGAGGGACCAGAGAAGGGTGAAGCCCAATGCAAGGAAGTCCAAAAACTGATACAAGAAGTGAAGGGAGAAATATCCAACAAAATAGATAGCTTAAGAAAAAAAAATAAAAATAAAAAATTCAGGAAACTTTGGCACACTTTTAGAAATGTGAAATGCTCTGGAAAGTCTCAGCAATAGAATTGAACAAGTAGAAGAAAGAAATTCAGATCTCGAAGACAAGGTCTTTGAACTAACCCAATCCAACAAAGACAAAAAAAAAAAAAAACATAAGAAAATATGAACAAAGCCTCCAAGACATTACATGACCAAACCTAAGAAGAATTGGTGTTCCTGAGGAAGAAGACAATTCCAAAAGCTTGGAAAACATATTTGGGGGAATAATCAAGGAAAACTTCCCCAACCTTGTGAGAGACCTAGACATGCACATACAAGAAGCACAAAGAACACCTGGGAAATTCATCGCACAAAGATCTTTGCCTAGGCATATTGTAATCAGGTTATCCAAAGTTAAGATGAAGGAAAGAATCTTAAGAGCTGTGAAAACGAAGTGCCAGATAACCTATAAAGGAAAACCTAACAAATTAACAGCCGACTTCTCAGCAGAAACCCTACAAGCTAGAAGGGATTGAGGCCCTATCTTCAACCTCCTCAAACAAAACAACCTTCAGCCAAGAATTTTGTATCCAGTGAAACTAAGCATCACATAAGAAAAAAGATAGAGTTGTTTTCAGATAAACAAGTGCTGAAAGAATTTGCCATAACCAAGTCACCACTATAAAAACTGCTAAAAGGAGCTCTAAATCTTGAAAAAAATCTTGGAAACACATCAAAATAGAATGTCTTTAAAGCATAAAGCACACAGCACCCATTAAAAAAGTACAAGTTAAAAAGAAAACACAAAAAACAAAGCATGCAGGCAACAAACAGTATGATGAATGCAACAGTACTTCACATTTCAATACTAACATTGAAAGTAAATGGCCTAAATGGTCCACTTAAAAGATACAGAATTGCAGACTGGATAAGAACTCACTATCCACTGCCTTCAGCAGACTCACCTAACACATAAGGACTCACATAAACTTAAAGGGATGGAAAAAGGCATTTCATGCAAATGTACACCAAAAGCGAGCAGGGATAGCTATTCTTATATCAGACAAAACAAACTTTGAAGCAACAGTGATTATGGTAAAAGGCCTTGTCCTACCGGAAAATATTACAGTCCTAAACATATATGCACCTAACACTGGAGCTCCCAAATATATAAAACAATTACTAATAGACCTAAGAAATGAGATAGATAGCAACACAATAATAGTGGGGGACTTCAATACTCCACTGACAGCACAAGGCAGGTCATCAAGACAGAAAGTTAACGAAGAAACAATTGATTTAAACTAAACCTTGGAACAAAAGGACTTAACAGATATATACAGAACACTTCATCCAACAACCACAGAATACACGTTCTATTCAACAGCCCATGGAGCTTTCTCCAAGATGGACCATATGATAGGCCATAAAATGAGCCTTAACAAATTTAAGAAAATTGAAATTATATCAAGCACTCTCTCAGACCACAGTGGAATAATACTGGAAATCAACTCCACAAGGAATCCTCGAAACCATGCAAATACATGAAAATTAAATAATCTGCTCTTTAATGAGCATTGGGTCAAAAACAAAATCAAGATGGAAATTAAAAAATCATTTGAACTAAATGACACAACCTATCAAAATCTCTGGGATACAGCAAAGGTGGTGCTAAGAAGAAAGTTCATTGCCCTAAATGCCTACATCAAAAAGTCTGAAAGAGCACAAACAGGACAATCTAAGGTCATGCCTCAAGGAACTATAGAAACAACACAAACCAAACCCAAACTCAGCAGAAAGGGAGTAACCAAGATCAGAGCAGAACTAAATGAAATTGAAACAAACAAACAAAAAGTACAAAAGACAAATGAAACAAAAAGCTGGTTTTTTGAAGAGATAAATAAGACTGATACACCATTAGCAAGATTAACCAAGAAAAGAAGACAGAAAATCCAAATAACCTCATTGAGAAATGAAAAAGGAGGTATGACAACTGATACCACTGAAATATGAAAGATCAGTCAAAGCTACTATGAATACCTTTACACACTTAAACTGGAAAAGCTAGAAGAGATGGATAAATTCCTGGAAAAATACAACCCTCCTAGCTTAAATCAGGAAGAATTGGATACCCTGAACAGACCAAAAATAGCAGCAAGATTGAAATGGTAATTTAAAAATTACCAACAAAAAAAAGTCCAGGACCAGATGGATTCACAGCAGAATTCTAGCAGACATTCAAAGAAGAATTGGAACCACTCCTTTTGACACTATTTCACAATATAGATAAAGAAGGAACCCTCCCTAATTCATTGTATGAAGCCAGTATCACCCTAATACCAAAACCAGGAAAGGACACAACCAAAAAAGAAAACTACAGACCAATATCCTTGATGAACATAGATGCTAAAATCCTTAAAATATTAGCTAACTGAATCCAGCAACATATCAAAAAATAATCCATCATGATCAAGTGGGTTTCATAACAGGGATGCATGGATGGTTTAACAGACACAAGTCAATAAATATGATTCACCACATAAACAGAATTAAAAACAAAAATCACACGATCATCTCAATAGATGCAGAAAAAGCATTTGACAAAATCTAGCATCCATTTATGATCAAAACCCTCAGCAAAATCGGCATACAAGGGACATACCTTAATGTAATAAAAGCCATCTATGACAAACCCACAGCCAACATACTACTGAATGGGGAAAAGTTGAAAGCATTCCTCGCAAGAACTATAACATGATAAGGATCACCGATCTCACCACTCCTCTTCAACACAGTACTGGAAGTCTTAGCCAGAGCAATCCTACAAGAGAAAGAGATAAACGGCATCCAAATCAGTAAAGAGGAAGTCAAATTGTCCCTGTTTGGTGACAATATGATTGTTTATCTTGAAAACCATAAGGACTACACCAGAAAGCAACTAGTACTGATAAAAGAATTCAGCAAAGTCTCTGGATACAAGATTAATGTTCACAAATCAGTAGCTCTTCTATACACCAACAGTGACCAAGCGGAGAATTAAATCAAGAACTCAACCCCTTTTACAATAGCTGAAAAACAAATAAAAATACTTAGGAATATACCTAACAAAGGAGTCAAAAGACTTCTACAAGCATAACTACAAAACACTGCTAAAAGGAATCATAGATGACACAAATGGAAACACATCCCATGCTCATGGATGGGTAGAATCAATATTGTGAAAATGACCATACTACCAAAAGCAATCTACAAATTCAATGCAATCCCCATCAAACCACCATCATTCTTCACAGAGTTAGAAAAATCAATTCTAAAATTCATATGGAGCCAAAAAAGAGCCCGCATAGCCAAAGCAAGACTAAGCAAAAAGAACAAATCTGGAAGCATCACACTACCTGATTTCAAACTATACTATAAGGCCATAGTCACCAAAATAGCTTGGTACTGGTGTAAAGACAAGCACATAGACCAATAGAACAGAATAGAGAACCCAGAAATAAGCCCAAGTATTTACAGCCAACTGATCTACCTTTTCAACAAATGGTGCTGGGATAATTGGTTAGCCACATGTAGGAGAATGAAACTGGATCCTCATCTCTCCCTTTATACAAAAATCAACTCAAGATAGATTAAGGACTTAAACCTAAGACCTGAAACTATAAGAATTCTAGAAGATAATTTTTATATTTTTATAAAAATATAAAGGGTTTTATAATTGTGGAAACCCTTTTAGACATTGGCTTAGGCAAGGATTTCATGACCAAAACCCAAAAGCAATTGCAATAAAGACAAAGATAAATAGCTGAGACCTAATTAAACTAAAGAACTTTTGCATGACAAAAGGAACGGTCAGCAGAGTAAACAGACAACCCAAAGAGTGGGAGAAAATCTTCACAATCTATACATCTGACAAAGGACTAATATCCAGAATCTACAATGAACTCAAATCAATAAGAAAAAAAAATCAAAAAGTGGACTAAGAACATGAACAGACAATTCTCAAAAGAAGATATACAAATGGCCAACAAACATATGAAAAATGCTCAACATCATTCATAATCAGGGAAATGCAAATCAAAACCACAATGCAATACCACCTTTCTACTGCAAGAATGGCCATAATAAAAAAAAATCAAAAAACAGTGGCGTGGATGTGGCCATCAGGGAACACTTCTACACTGCTGGTGGGAATGTAAACTAGTACAGCTGCTATGGAAAACAGTGTGGAGATTTCTTAAAGAACTAAAAGTAGAACTACCATTTGATCCAGCAATCCCCTACTGGGTATCTACCCAGAGGAAAAGAAGCCATTATTCGAAAAGCATACTTGCACATGCACGTTTATAGCAGCACAATTCACAATTGCAAAATTGTGGAACCAACCCAAATGCCCATCAATCTATGAGTGGATAAAGAAACTCTGGTACATATATATGATGGAATACTACTCTGCCATAAAAATGAATAAATTAACAGCATTTTCAATGACCTGGATGAGATTAGAGACTATTTTTCTAAGTGAAGTAACTCAGGAATGGAAAACCAAACATCGTATGTTCTCACTGATATGTGGGAGCTAAGCTATGAAGACACAAATGCATAAGAATGATACAATGGACTTTGGAGACTTGGGGTAATGAGTAGGGGGTCAAGGGATAAAAGACAACAAATATGGTGCAGTGTATACTGTTCGGGTGATGGGTGCACCAGGTTCTCACAAATCTCTACTAAAGAACTTACTCATGTAACCAAATACCACCTGTACCCCAATAACGTATGGAAAAATAAAATTTAAAAACTATTAAAATATTGTAGTGGTTACTCTTGAGGTTACATGACACAATTTTACCTACTTAAAGTCCGCCTTCAAATATCAATCACTACATGGCTTCACATGCAATGCAGGTATCCTATAACAGAATGTTTATTACCAATTTCTAGTACTTATTCATTGTTTTATAATTACAACATTGTTCTTAGTGCTTTACATAAAATATAAAATAGGTCAATTATGATTAATAAAAATAAGATATTTTATCTTCATTTATTCATTCTCTGCCATCCTTTCTTTCATTAGGTATATCCCGGTTTCGATCTATATAATTCTTCCTCTAAACAAATTACTTCAACATTTCTTTCAAAGATCTGTTGGCAATGATTTCCCTTGCTTTTTTTTTTTTTTTTTTTTTTTAAATATCAGAGAATGTCTGATATGGTTTGACTGTGTCCCCACCCAAATCTCATCTTGAACTGTAGCTCTCATAATCCCCACATGTCATGGAAGTGGCATGGTGGGAGGTAATTGAATCATGACTGTATTTTTTCCCCATGCTGTTCTTGTGATAGTGAACAAGTCTCATGAGATTTGATGGTTTTATAAAGGTTAGTTCCCCTCACACGCTGTCTTGCCTGAACCATGTAAGATGTGTCTTTGCTCCTCCTTTGCCTTTCACCATGATTGTGAGGCATCCTCAGACACGTGGAACTGTGAGTCCATTAAACTTCTTTTTCTTTATAAATTACCCAGTCTCAGGGATTTCTTCATAGCAGTATGAAAATGGGCAAATACACTAAATTGGTATCAGGAGTGGGCCACTGCTATTAAACTATGTGAAAATGTGGAAACAACTTTAGAATTGGGTAACAGGCAGAGATTGGAACAGTTTAGAGGGCTCAGAAGATAATAGGAAAAAGTGGGAAAGTTTGAAACTTTCTAGAGACTTGGAGGGCTCAGAAGACAGGAAGATGTGGGAAAGTTTGTAACTTCTTAGAGACTTGTTGAATGGCTTTCACCAAAATGCTGATAGTGATATGGACAATAAAGTCCAGGCTGAGATGGTCTCAGATGGAGATGAGGAACTTATTGGGAACTGGAGTAAAGGTCATTCTTTTTATGCAAAGAGACTGGTGGCATTTTGCCTCTGCTTTAGAAATTTGTGGAACTTTGAACTTGAGAGAGATAATTTAGGGTATCTGCTGGAAGAAATTTCAAAATGGCAAAGTTTTCAAAAGGAGGCAGAGCATAAAAGTTTGAAAAATTTGCAACCTGACTTGTGGAATAAAAGAAAAACCCATTTTCTGGGGAGAAATTCAAGGCTGCTGCAGAAATTTGCATAAGTAATGAGGAGCCAAATGCTAATCATCACGACAATAGGGAAAATGTCTCCAGGGCATATCCGAGTCCTTCATGACAGTCGCTCCTATCACAGGCCTAGGAGGGAAAAATGATTTATGGGCCAGGCCCAGGGCCCCCTCCTGTGTGCAGCCTAGGGACTTGGTGCCCTGCATCGCAGCCACTCCAGCCATGGCTAAAAGGGGCCAAGGTATATCACTGGCTGTAGCTTCTGAGGGTGCAAGCCTGGAGCATTGGCACTATCCATATGGTATGGAGCCTGCAGGGGCACAGAAGTCAAGAGTTGAGGTTAGGGCACCTCTGCAGAGATTTCAGAGAATGTATGGAAACCCCTGGATGTCCAGGCAGACATTTGCTGCAGGGTTAGGGCCCTGATGGAGAACCTCTGCTAAGGCAGTACAGAGGGGAAATATCAGGTGGGAGCCCCCACAGAGAGTCCCCACTGGGGCACTGCCTAGTGGAACTGTGAGAAGAGGGCCACCATCCTCCAGACCCCAGAATGGTAGATGCACCAACAGCTTGCATAGCTTGCACTTGTGCACCTGGAAAAGCCACACTCAACACCAACCTGTGAAAGCAGCCAGGAAGGGGGTTGTACCTAGCAAAGCCACAGGGGCAGAGCAGCTCAAGACCATGGAAACCCACCTCTTGCCATCAGTGTGACCTGGATGTGTGACATGAAGTCAAAGGAGCTCATTTTGGAACTATAATGACTGCCTTATAGGATTTTGGACTTGCATGGACTCTGCAGCCCCTTTGTTTTGGTCAGTTTCTCCCACTTGGAACAGGTGTAATTACCCAATGCCTGTACTCTTATTGTATCTAGGAAGTAACTAACTCGCTTTTGATTTTACAGGCTCATAGGTGGAAGGACCTTGCCTTGTCTCAGCTGAAATTTTGGTCTGCAGACTTTTGAGTTAATGCTGAAGTGAATTAAGACTTTGGGGAACTGTTGGGAAGGCATGATTTGTTTTGCAATGTGAAGACATAAGATTTGGGAGGGGCCAGAGGTGGCATGATATGGTTTGGCTCTGTGTCCTCACCCAAATCTCATCTTGAATTCTACCTCCCATAATCCCCACGTGTCATGGAAAGGATGTGGTGGGAGGTAATTAAATCATGAGAGCAGGTTTTTCCTGTGCTGTTCTCATGATAGTGAATAAGTCTCATGAGATCTGATGGTTGTATAAAGGGCTGTTCCCCTGCACACACTCTCTTGCCTACTGCCATGGAAGATCTGTCTTTGCTCCTTCTTTGCCTTCTGCTGTGATTGTGAGGCCTCCCTAGACATGTGGAACTGTGAGTCCATTAAACTTCTTTTTCTTTGTAAATTACCCAGTCTCAGGTATTTTTTCATAGCAGTACGAAAATTGAATAATACAATGTCTTTATTTCTCGTTCACTTTTGAAGGATACCTTTTCTGGCTATGCAATTGTCATTTGGTGTTTGCTTTTTTTATTGTTTTTCTTTTCACACTTCAGATATTTCACTCTTCTCTTTTCTGGCATGCATGGTTTTGGATAAGAAGTCCACTGCAATTTTTATTCTTGCTTCCACCTCACCCAACATGGACTTTTTGCAAAATTGCTTTTTTGCTTTTAGTTTTCTACAGTTTGAATATATGCGTAAGGTATAAAGATTTTAATATTTATACTGCTTGGTGTTTTCTGAGCATCCTAGTTCTTTGGTTTTGTGTCTGTCATTAATTATGAAACATTCTTGACCATATTGCTTCAAATATTTCTCCTGGTCTGTATTCTTTTTCTGGTCTTCCACCTGTATGTATGTTACACATTTTGAAACTGTCCCACAGTTCTTGTTGTTTCTGTTTTTTTAAAAAAATTTTGCATTCTTTTTTATCTTTGCATTTTAGTTTGTAAAGCTTCTATTTACTTATCTTCGAAGTTTTCAAGTTCACTGATTCTTTCTTCAGCCAAGCCTAGTCTATTATTGAGCCCATGCATCAGAAATATTCTTCATTTCTGCTAAAGTGCATTTGTTTTCTAATACAGTAATCCCTGCTTATCCTCAGTTTCACTTGCTATGGTTTCATTACCCTTGGTCAACTGCGGTCTGAAAAATCTCCATAGCTCATCATGGTGCAAAGGTCTAGGGTCACGCAAAGCAGATGATCCTCCTTCTGATGTATCCTTAGAAGGTCAATAGCAGCCTAATACAATGTCACAGTGCCTACAACATTCACCTTACTTTATCCCACTACACAGGAATTTTACCATCTCACATCATCATCATAAGAAGTGTGAGTAGGTTACAATATGTTGAGAGAGAGAGGATGCATGTGTGTGTGAGCTAGAGATGAAATTCACATAATTTTTATTAGGGTATATTATTATAATTGTTCTGTTTTATTATTAATTATCATTGTTAATCCATTACTGTGCCTAATTTATAAGTTAAACTTTATTATAGGTATGTGTGTGTATGAAAAAACATAGTATATATAGGGTTTGATGCTATCTGCAGTTTCAGGCATCCACTGGGAGTATTAAGAACATAACTCCAGGTAATAAGGGTATTAAATACAATTTATAGGCCATTGATTTGAACTGAGCTTCTGCACTAGGCCCAACTGGCCAAAGCAAAATGGAGTTATTCACACTAAAGTTCCATGTCATCAGGCAGAAGCTACGTTGTCTTTGTGACCTTCCCAGAAATCCTTAGACTGAGAGATAGCAGCCAAATTCCCAAACAAGCTGTTTTAGCTGCTTCAATAAGGGAATTCCCTCCGTTATAACCTTTATAAATAATGTAACTTTGAAATGACCAAATTGCTTTTCATTCTTTTTTTCTGCTTATTTCAGCAATTCTCTGTCTATAAAACCAAACTACTCTGCCCAGCTCATTGGAATACTCATTGCATTTTTAGAATGAGATGTCTGATTGTAGAATTGCAAATGAAAGCCAACTAAAATCTTTAACTACATTTGTTATAATATTGTCTTCTCACACAGGGGGAATACTATATTTCTTTTGCATTCTTTCCTGTAGTTCCTACCTACTTACATTACCCATTTGTTCTTGCATGGGGTCTACATTTTCAGTTAGAATCCTTAACACAGTAATCAGAATTTTAAATTTCCTACCTGATCATTCCAATATCTGCCATATATGACTCTGGTTCTGATGATTTTCTGTTCAGACTTTGTTTTCTCTTGGTTTTTGTCATGTCTTGTAACTTGTTTTTGTTGGGAATAACACTCAAAATCCTAAGGAAATTGCATACTCAAACAAAGGATTCTTAGCAAAACAATTTTACTTCTGCGCAGAGGGGTGCCTCTCTTTGGCCAGTCACCATGAGAGCACACCTGAACAAAGGGGCATTACAGTGTTTACTCCTGATGCAAGTCCTGCCCCTGTACCCTTTCCCCATTGGCCGAGGTCAGGCCGTACAATCTAAACTAATCCTGATTGGCTAAACTTTTGAACATTTTTTTTAGATCAGGTGAGCACATAAGGGAGAGAGGGGAAAGGGGAAGGGGTGTCTGCAATGAGCTAGAAAGCTAGTCTTCTTTCCAAATAAGGAAAGGAAGGGGAGCTGGTACTGATAACGCCTGGTACTGTGGTGTGTCTGGGCGTGTAACAAAGGCAGAAAGGAAGTAAAAAGAGAAAAAGGAAAGCGGGGAGTGGGTACTGTGAATTAAAGAATAGAGGATTGATCAGGTTATTTGAAGAGAAACCTCATCATATTGCACAGCTTGAATACTGAACGTATTGTATAATCTCACAGGACCTGCAGTAAATAGACCTAGTGTGAGCATTTTTGTTATTTGGCTAGGAGTTATACTGTGTTTAATTTTCTGTAGCTGTTGGTACAAGTGGGTTCAAATTTCTCTGGAGACATTGTTTTCTGTCTCTTCTCTATGGATTTGGGGCTTCCCTAAAAACTCCTTTTTAGACAGAGTATGTGTCTTGAAGCTTTTTCTGTTGTTACCTACTTTTATTGTACTGGAATCCTATAGGTATGGTAATGAGAGGTGGAATTGGCGGGACTTCCTGGGCCGCTTCGGGGGCTTTTGCAAAAGACCTCTGTGACCCAGGGTTTTGAGTTCTTAACCAATCGAGTGAAGGATTCAAAATTAACCACTCCAAGGGAGGACTGAAAAAAGAACCACGCTCAATGGGCAAAAAGAAAGAATGGGGAGGCAGTAACACAGGAATATAAGCCTTAGCCACCCGGCCCAGCAAGGGCAACCCATACAGGTCCCCTTCCACCACGTGGACACTTTCCTTTAGCTTTGTTCCATAAACTGTGCTGCTGCTCACTCTCCTGGTCCGTGGACTCTTTTTGAGCTGTAATGTTCACCACGAAGGTCCGCAGCTTCATTCTTTGAAGTTATCCAGACCACGAACCCATCAAGACCATGAACCCATCGGCAGGAAATACTCCTCACTCAGTAATAAACTGTGTGAGTGACAAATTCTATAATCTTCTGAATATATCTCAGTCTTTTTGTCTATGTCCTTGGGCTGTGACCTTCATAACCGTTTCTGCAACCTGCCTCCCTCGTTAGGTGAGACATGGGGAGGAAAGGGGGCTGGAGTCAGGGAAATGCCCTGCCCTCTGCTGAGATAAGGCTCTGGCAAAATCTTTTCCCTGGACCATAGGTTTTTCTTATAAAAAAGTCTTTTGTAATGATTACCCTTTCAGTCTTCCTGACCAAGAAAGAGGGGTACTGTCTTGGGTCTTTACCATGAGAACCAGGTCATATTCCTGGAGTTAAAGAACACAAGAATGTTGGAGTGGAGGAGTCCTAAGATTTCAGCCTCTAAGAAACACATTCATGTTAGTTGACATTTAGCCTGCAGCAATTTGTCAAAACTACCATTTAAGTGTTCCTACTAGTTTATGGCTCCAGTGAGTCCTGCTCAGGTAAGCAGATCTTGGTTCCTGCATCCTTTGGATGCATCTGGCTTTCTGGATTCAGGGTGGTAGTTTGCCATGAAGCCTAAGTAAGTTCTCTAATGGGTCCAAGCAAGGTCATTGACTTTTAGTTTGTCCAGGTTTTTCTTGCTATGTGAAAGAGAGTGATGTTTTCTAAACTCTGTACATTTCGAGTTTAAATCAGAAATCTTTTTGTTTTTTAACCTGCCTGGTTACTTTTGATATCTTCTTTACCTCAACTATGTATTCAGCCAATTTTTAATTTCTTTAAACATTTTATACAAAGTTATTTTATATTGTATAACTGAAAATTTTGATAATTTGGTGTCTAAGTACATTGCCATTTTTAATGTCAGTACTGATGTTAAAGTTGCTTCTTTCTGGAGGAAATCTGAGTTTTTATTCTCCTGGATTTCATTAGGCATTAACAATCTGCAGCCGCTTCCAGTTAATAATCTTGGCTTGAGGTTTTCCTGGCCTCAGGGGAACTAAATATTCTATCCCCTGAACCATGTGAAAGCAGGCTATCATTGCTTATTCTTGGGAAAGACTTACATTTTTACTTTCTATTTAGAGCAAAATCGCACATTTTCTTTAAGATTTTATTTTATTTTAGGCTCCATTTACACTGAGGTATAGCCACTGCAAGGAGCCTCTTTCAGGTTCAGCTATTGACTTAGGCTGTATGTCTCTATAGCACTACATCCCCAGGACTTCTTTTTTTCCCAGTGTACCTTTGGTGTTTGAGTTTGCTTTATTTTCTTGTTTTTGATCTTAGTTTATCTTGATGAATCCTTTAGTGATTTCTCTCAGTTTTCTGTTAGTTCAACAGTACATTTTTAAATGTTTAGCTTGTTTTGGTAAAAATCTTTATATTTTGCAGCATATTTTCTAAGTGTTTATAGTCTATGACCCTGTGGAAGCTGAGTTCCTCATTCATTCTTCAACTCTCTCTAATTGCCCTCTCTTCAGAATTATAATAAAAATGTCTTCCCAAGGTCACCAGTGAGACTATAACAATTCCTTTGGCTACCTGAGAATTTTATTTTATCTTTTTTAAATCATCTTCTCATCTGCAATCTGCAGAGTTGACCTTGCTCCTATTTTTGAAATAGTTTTATTTGGCTGCCGGGCTAATAACTTACTTTTTCATTTATTCTAGGCAAACATCCTGATTGTCAGTATACTTCTTACTCAAAAGAAAAAAAAAAGAAAAAAAAGGAAGGAAGGAAATGAAAGAGAAAGAGAAAGAAAAAGAGAGAAAAAAAGAAATAAAGAAGGAAAGGAAGGAAGAAGGAAGGAAGGAAGGCAGGCAGGAAGCAAGGAGGGAAAGAAGGAAGGAAAAATAGAAACTACTGTAAAACTAGAAACTCTTATCTAATTTTTGTCCATTATCTAAAGCCATTATCAATGACTCCTTCTTTATAAAATACTATATGTCTTCTTATTCTATACTATTTCATTTCTTCCAACTTGCATTGCATATTTTTATGATGTAGTTTCGAAATAAATTTTTGTTCTATTTTGCATATGTGTTATTCTTCAAACAAACACATTTAAAGAGCCTGAAAGCAGGGTATATTAGTCCGTTTTCACGCTGCTAATAAAGACATAAACGAGACTGGGTAATTTATAAAGAAAAGAGGTTTAATTTACTCACAGTTCAGCGTGGCTCGGGAGGCCTCAGGAAACTTACAATCGTGGCTGAAAGGGAAGCAAACATGCCCTTTATATGGTGGCAGGAAGGAGAAGAGCCAAGCAAAGGGGGAGGCCCCTTATAAAATCATCAGATCTCGTGAAAACTTACCATCACAAGAATAGCATGGGGGAAACCCACCCATGATTCAGTTGTCTCCCACTGGGTTCCTCCCACCACATGTGGGGATTATGGGAACTACAATTCAAGATGAGATTTGGGTGGGGAAACAGCCAACCATATCACAGAGATTATTGTGTTCATAAATAATGTGTCTCTCACCACAAATCTTAGGACAGTGCACATTCATGAAAACATATTTTTATTCTAAGTTAACTACTCCTAGCACATAGTTCATACTCAAAAGTTTGTTAGACTTGACAATGGCTTGCTATTCTGTTCAGATAATCCTTAAAGATGACACACATTCCCACCGCCAGTCCGCTAGTTTTTCCAACACCATCTATTGCTTTTGTCCATACTCCACACCACCCACCTTGATCCACTTGCTGTTCCTTGAACACACTGGGCATACTTGCATCTCAAAGATTTTGGCAGTTGCTGATTTCTTTACCTTGTATTTTCCTTCGTATCAAAATGGCTTTCTTTCCTATCATTTTCTGGTGGGGACCTCTTACACAGTCTTCCTGATATCCTCTACTTTCACAACCATCCTCTGATTTCTTCCTCACTCAATTCTCAAACCTGCTATATTTCAAAATAAATGAAAAGTTATCATTTTACTCCCTTACATTTTTTGAGTATTTTAGTTTATAGCTTTTCCTATTTTGAGGTCTCAGTCTTCTTCAGGAAGCTGATAAAAATTTGCTTTCTCCCCCCAAAATGCACATAAATCACTACCCAGAAAATTTTAAATGTAACACATTGAATATCATTTCATTTATATACATTTTCTAATTTATAATTAACTTTTAATTAAAAATTAATAGCCATTTCATTTAAAAAGCAGTAATATGTCCAAATTGTGACAATTAAGAAATTAAATGTTATTTTAACTCAGAAGTCAACTTCACTAAGAAATTCATTGTTTGGCTTGAGTAGGTAGTTTGAATTATGGAGCCGTGTTTGACATTGCAATGCAAATGTTTTCTCCACATTCGTTACAATAAAAAAATATAGACTATTTTTTAGAGAAATTTTAGGCTCACAGCAAAATTGAGAAGAAAGAACAGAGTTCTTCTGTACCTCCTGCCCCTACACAAGACTGGCCTCTCCCACTATCAATATCCCACACCAGAATGGCAAAATTGTTACAAGTGATGAACCTACACTGCCATTATCACTGAAAGTCCATAGTTTATATTAGGGTTCACTCTTGGTGTTGAACATTCTACAAATTTTGACAAATGTACACTGACATGTTTCCATCATTATAGTATCATATAAAATAGTTTTGCTGACCTAAAAATCCTCTCTACTTTGCCTATTCATCTCTCTCATTACATTTTGCCTTTTAATTTGACATTTTTTTTCCTGAGCCACAATGTGATAACTACTTTGTAGTACTGAGCTGAAGGGGTGAATGGAGGCTCAGATCCAGCCTGTGCTCTGCTCTCTTAATTGAGCACCCTGGAAGCAGATTTTATATCTATGAAAAGAAGACTTTTTCTTCATTGACATGTAGTATTTTCCTGCTAAGCTTGATCGCTCAGAACTGTGTAATTAAAAAAAGAAAAAAAACTCTTACAATATGCTTTACCGTAAAAGATAGACCTATGTTACAGTACACCAGAATTACCTAAAGTGTCATATTGTTGAATTTAGGTTGCACATGTTCCTTTATCCTAAAATAATTGCAGCCATATTTGAAAAACCAACATTTCATTCTGCGTGTATTGACAAAGAGTTATAGGAACTGTATTGGTTACTCATTGATAGGCATATGGTTAGTATTACTCATGTACCTGAAAATCTAGACTAGGCTCTGCTGATGAAACATTGTGCTATAACATTATATATCTTCTCCTTCTAAGGCTAATGACCAGCCTGAGTGCTTTCTCACCAAAGAAATTACAAATGTGCAAGAAGGCAAGTAGAAACTGGCTGGTAATCTTCAAACTTATCTTGTAGCATATCTGCCAATATCCCACTGGCCAAAGCAAGACTTGGAGAGGCATAGTGAGATGCACTGAAAAGTTATACGATAAAGGGTATGTATGCAAGTAGTGGTAAGAGATTGAAGACACGAATGTATACCTAATAGCATGTATCTAATGTACTAGATTACTAGCATCTGGCATAAACGCATATTTAAATATTTATATTATAAGCAAATGTTGGAAGATTTAGCTAGTGTGTCCAATTATTTGCAGACTTCAGTTGATGCATTTAAAAGGCTTTGCCAGTCAACTGTAGCCAGTGAAAATGCTTTGTCCAGCACTGGGACGTTTGCCTAATTGTCCACCTTCATTTCCTTCTTGTTGAGTGACAACTTGACAAAAAAAAGTAGTAAGAAAGAAAGAAATTGATTTCAACAATACCCATGATATCAACAAAAGACTAAAAGGCATAATTTTTTCCCTTGAGTAAAGTATGACAAGCCATGCAAAAACTAGTCTTTTTCATAAAGTTGGTTCTTATTTTCCATCAAGTACAATAAAACAACACACCCACTGTAAATCTAATCAAGTATTTAAATATGTAGTTTATGAAAACAAAGAAAATATTTGTTTAGTAGAAAAGATCTGAATATTCTCTTTTCATTTCTTTTTTTTTAAATTTTATTATTATTATACTTTAAGTTTTAGGGTACATGTGAACAACGTGCAGGTTTGTTACATATGTATACATGTGCCATGTTGGTGTGCTGCACCCATTAACTCATCATTTAGCATTAGGTATATCTCTTAATGCTATCCCTCCCCCAGCCCCCCACCCCACAACAGTCCCCGGTGTGTGATGTTCCCCTTCCTGTGTCCACGTGTTCTCATTGTTCAATTCCCACCTGTGACTGAGAACATGCGGTGTTTGGTTTTTTGTCCTTGTGATAGTTTGCTGAGAATGATGGTTTCCAGTTTCATCCATGACCCTACAAAGGACATTCAAAGCAGTGTGTAGAGGGAAATTTATAGCACTAAATGCCCACAAGAGAAAGCAGGAAGGATCTAAAATTGATACCCTAACATCACAATTAAAAGAACTAGAGAAGCAAGAGCAAACACATTCAAAAGCTAGCAGAAGGCAAGAAATAACTAAGATCAGAGCAGAACTGAAGGAATAGAGACACAAAAAACCCTTCAAAAAATCAGTGAATCCAGGAGCTGGTTTTTTGAAAAGATCAACAAAATTGATAGACCGCTAGCAAGACTAATAAAGAAGAAAAGAGAGAAGAATCAAATAGACACAATAAAAAGTGATAAAGGGGATATCACCACCGATCCCACAGAAATACAAACTACCATCAGAGAATACTATAAACACCTCTATGCAAATAAACTAGAAAATCTAGAAGAAATGGATAAATTCCTTGACACATACATCCTCCCAAGACTAAACCAGGAAGAAGCTGAATCTCTGAATAGACCAATAACAGGCTCTGAAACTGAGGCAATAATCAATAGCTTACCAACCAAAAAAAGTCCAAGACCAGACGGATTCACAGCCAAATTCTACCAGAGGTACAAAGAGGAGCTGGTACCATTCCTTCTGAAAGTATTCCAATCAATAGAAAAAGAGGGAATCCTCCCTAACTCATTTCATGAGGCCAGCATCATCCTGATACCAAAGCCTGGCAGAGAAACAACCAAAAAAAAAGAATTTTAGACCAATATCCTTGATGAACATCGATGCAAAAATCCTCAATAAAATACTGGCAAACCAAATCCAGCAGCACATCAAAAAGCTTATCTACCATGATCAAGTGGGCTTCATCCCTGGGATGCAAGGCTGGTTCAACATACAAAAATCAATAAATGTAATCCAGCATATAAACAGAACCAAAGACAAAAACCACATGATTATCTCAATAGATGCAAAAAAGGCCTTTGACAAAATTCAACAGCCTTCATGCTAAAAACTCTCAATAAATTAGGTATTGATGGGTTGTATCTCAAAATAATAAGAGCTATCTATGACAAACCCACAGCCAATATCATACTGAATGGGCAAAAACTGGAAGCATTCCCTTTGAAAACAGGCACAAGACAGGGATGCCCCCTCTCACCACTCCTATTCAACATAATGTTGGAAGTTCTGGCCAGGGCAATCAGGCAGGAGAAGGAAATAAAGGTTATTCAATTAGGAAAAGAGGAAGTCAAATTGTCCCTGTTTGCAGATGACATGATTGTATATCTAGAAAACCCATTGTCTCAGCCCAAAATCTCCTCAAGCTGATAAGCAACTTCAGCAAAGTCTCAGGATACAAAATCAATGTACAAAAATCACAAGCATGCTTATACACCAATAACAGAGAGCCAAATCATGAGTGAACTCTCTTTTCATTTTTTGATGGCATCTTGAAAATGCCCAGGCTCGGTATGATGACAATGTTTATTTCAAGAAATAAGTTGGTTTTAGGAATTCTGAATCCAATGCTTGCCAATAGCAAGGCTAAAACTTACAGAGACATCTAGGCTTATGCATAAAAGCAGCAAAATCACACTTTAAAAAGCATCTCTGGGGCTCTCTCTGTGGTCAGAGAACCAAGATTTTCATGCCAAGTAGTTTTTCTCAGAAATAATATGAAAAAATACATATTTACCTCTTTAAAGCTACAGTGAGTTTTGGCATTTCTTAAAGTGGATCAATTAGGAATTGTGTTTTGCTGGCATGAGTAAGAATACAAAGCAGCTGAAAATAAGTTTTTGGCTGAATGAAGAACTGTCAATACAAAATTACAATCAAATGGTGAGAGTAGAGGTCAGAGTTGAACTTTTCTTTTTCTTTTCTATGAAATGGTTCCAACTATTAGAATATAGGGCAGATATTTTAAGGTTAACAGACACCTTTCTTTCTTACATTGTCACTCAATTTGTTCAGTGACTTTGGTAAAGATTTATTCTAAGTGCTTCTCAGAAGTCAGCCATTCAAGTGTGCTGCGTTTACTGATATCTTTGAATCTACCCTCATCCAGGAGGGCGCTTGATATATTCTGAAGACTGAGTCACCAAAATAGCTGGTCTTGATCATCTCAAGGACCTCTGCCATTACCATTGAGGGAGAGCTGGGCACACTGTTGTCATTGCCACTTCTAGAAACTGCTGGCCTGCTCTCTGCCATGCTGTGACTTCAGAAAGGGATGGAGCCCTACAGTAAAGAGGACTGGGTCTCAAGGTATTAGAACTTTTAATGAAAGAGGTTCACCAATTCACACTACCCACATGCTCACTGATTCTCCCATGGTACTGTACACTGCCAGGATGCCAGACATACTTTTATTAAGGAGTTGGTGCTGAACACAAGTCATCAGCTCAGACTTTTCTACCCTTACGAAGAGTTCCCTCTGGGGCACTTCACAATTCTTTCCTGCAATCAGTAGGCTCATATTTTTAAAAATCTGTTTCAACTATCTTCAACTGCTTCAAGTCATAAAACAGCTCAGTCAGTGCCAGAAAACTTGTTGCATCAAGATGCCCCCAGTTGTGTCTCATGCAATACAATTACAAAGTTTCAAAGTGGATTTGGAGGCAATGCTTTTAGTTTTATGTTTTTGCTTGACCAAATTCAACTTTCATAAGGTTCCTGCCTTTTGTATTTCAGCATCCTTCTCACTTAAACACTTAGCAATGGGATAAAAAGAAATTTACAAGAGGGGCATTCTTAATGTGGTTCTTCAGCTTTGTTGGCTTCTTGCTTTTATTGGTAAAAGAATTAAACACAAAGACCACTGTGACTTTTGTGACCTAATAACATTGGTTATAAAAATAAAACCAAAGTTTTATAAAGTATTCATATTTTTTCTTTGACACCTTCTACTAAAGCTAGGCCTGTTAAAGAAGTAAATAAAGACATCCATAATATTAGCAGCAAGGCACAGTCCCTTTGCTTTAATTTAAAAGAAACTATAGGATTCATACATGAAAATGACAATGACAATTGATTACAAATTGCTACTTGCTTCATGATGAAAACTCACCCCTCATTTACTTAAAATAAAACTATAGCATATTAACATAATTTTACAAAATTTTTGATGACTTTTTCAAAGCAAGAAAGAGTTACAGATATAAATATTTCATATGTTTACTTGCATTGGGTTCATGGGAGCACAGAAACCTTAATCTAATAATTATCTTCTTTGCTGACCTCATTTCTCAGAGGTTATATGCTCATTTTGTAAGTCAGACATAACAGATTTGAATCCTGGCTCAACAAGCTATTGAATGAGCCATCTTAGGCTAATTCCTTAACTTTTTGAACATCAATTATTTCACATTTAGAATGAAAATAAATTTGATGTTATGATTTTTGCATAAATTACATGATATATATATATACACACATATATAGGAAGATATGTATGTGTATATATATATATATAGGCTTTAAATAGTGTCATATACATAAAAACATTCCATAAATTGTATTTTGCTCTTAAACAAGTCATGGCATATAACAGATATTCTAGAAAGATTTGTTGTGTAAATTATACAACTATTATTATTATTGCTACCATTGTTTTATTATCCCCTGCTGCATCCCAGTAACATGGATGTACTTTCTATTTTATGCATATGGTATTCTTTTTGGTTCCTCACATTTTGCATGCCTTTTCTTTCCTTTTGGAATGTCTTTCCTATATTTTTCTACCTAGTTATTATCTGATATACTGCTATAACTCTTCTTCAGTGTTGTGTCATCTTTGACTTTAGTTGACCAAAACCTCTGATACCTCAGTTGTTTCTCAAACATTGACTTTATGTCTAATATGAAGTGTTAAAGCAACATATACAGGTGCTTAAAACATTGCCTCTTGATGATGTCCCTCATGAGACTGTGAGCTCACTGAGGGAAAGAGTTATGAATTGTTTATTTTTCTCAGAGAACTAGCATGCTATACTCTGATGAATAATGGCTTATTTTAATATTTCTATTTTTTGCAAATCAACACTATTTTCTCTAATGCATTCAATATTGTAACTCTGCCCTGTATCTAATATTTATCTTGAAACCATACTGGAATTAATGAGATGCAGAGAGAAGAGCATGATCTCTGACCCTACATTTCAAGCTTCATTTCATGGAATCTATAGCATTTAATGGTAAATGAGGAAGTAATTTGACTGAGTATCACTGCAATAGCAATTCAAGCTATTGTGTATTTTACATTTATCTGAAAGGAAAAGTCACATTATATTCCATTGAGGACAATCAGTATGATGGTCTTTATTTGGAGAAATTATGAATGTTCTGTCACACATATAATTTTAATAGTTTAAAACACAATTTGTTTTCAGGTTGAGGATTAATACTATGGTGATCCTGAGAAAATCCAACTGATATTCCTGAACGTTTTTTGGTTACGAAGAATACACTTGTATAAAATGGCTAATAGTATGGCTATTTTCAGAGCCAAATACAGGTAATTCCTCTTAATGGTAAAAAAATATATATATACATGAAAAAATCACTTAACTGACAATGAGTTAGGTCTAAATCTAGCTGAAAAGATAAATATCCATTCTATCTTTAAAGATCTTCATAAAATACATTTCTTAGTTTGCTCTCTCATTGCCCAGTGTGGCTTATTACATTTTACACAGGCCCATAATGTTAGGAACCTCTATGTCCCTCATACTGAAGAGAAGGACTTTCAAGCTATCCCCATTTATCTTCCATGACCAAATCCACATTTCGTACTTGACGTCATGAAAGTCTTCTACACCCATTTTACTCTATCCTTATACAATTATGTATTGCAGAAAAACTGAAGATTCTAATTGCTTTAAAGATTTATATTGATTCAGGTAAGCTTATCTTTCTAGATGCAAGGTGAATCATCAAACGTAACTTCTGAGCATGTATTCCATTTTCCTTTACCGTAAACTGTATGTGGAGATCAATAATTGGAGTGTTTAGTAGGTTAAGAGTTTTCTGAAATGTACCGCTCAAGGACTAATACTGTTCTTTGGAATGTGACTAGTTAAAATCACTACGGAATGATATCTATTATTAGCTTTTCTTATGTGTTTTCTATTGTATTTTATTTTTAAAATTATATTAAATACACATGATCTGAAATGTACCATATTAACCATTTTTGAGTGCACACTTTCAAAGCATTAGGTGGATTCACCTTGTTGTACAACCATCACCGTCATCAAGAATTTCCTAGGATTATTTTTATCTTGCAAAACGCAAACTCTGTACCTATTAAACAATAACTTCCCTTTCCCACTTGTCACAGCTCCTGCAAAAAATCATTCTATTTCCTGTCTCTATGAATTTGACTACTCTCAGTAGCTCATGTCAGTGGAATCATGCAGTGTTTCTTCTTTTGTGACTGGATTATTTCACTTAACATGATGTCCTCAAGTGTCATCTATGCTGTAGCATGTATGAGTCTGTGATTTTGTGATTATAGATATATTCTATATGCATGGTCTGATATGATAAGCACTAGTCACACACGACTCTTGAACACCCGAAATGTGGCTAGTATGACTTAAGATTATCATATTTAAATTTAAATTGCCACATATGATTAGTGGCTATTGTGTTGGATAGCACAGATCTATATAATCCGCATTAAGTATTCTTCTGGCTTATCGATTTTAGATATAATTTTTAATACTATGTTATATTATAGTTTAGCTATATATATCTTCCCCCGTTCAACCACAACCACTTTTTAAATTAAGTTTCTTTCTCAATTATCTTCTTAACTTTAAAATAGTGCACCAATTACTTATGTCCTTCTTTCAACAACTATAAACAGAACCTGTTGCATGGTATTCACTCTCCTGCCTTTTCTTAGAGCTCTTAACTTTGATTTTTATATGTCCACAAGGTTTGTAATAGTAATAATTTCTTCTGCAATTGTTTTGAACTAGCCAATGTTATTTACTGCAAATTCCAATGAGCATATTTATCTCTCCTTTCTTGTACTGATTTTTGTTTTGCTTTTCTGGGAATTTTGAAATCAATATTTTTCTGGAACTATTTAAGCTTATGGCTTTTTTCAAACTTTTTTATTTAATTAAATATTCTATAAGATGTATGTTTCAGAGACCTCCCTGTAATCACCTACTCTTCTCCATCTTCAAAATGGGACCAATTGCTCTCTAAATCTGCCAAACAGCTGTCAAGTTGACCCTTCCATGTTGTGCTTCCTAGAATTCTTTACATTGCTTTTCTGTATCCCACGTTTCCACTGTTGTTCTATATTCTTAATTTAGAGTAGTTTATCTTCAAGTAACTTTCCAAAAAGAATGGGTATGCCATTCTTTCTGAGTCACTTTCCATTTTGAAATGTCATTGTTTTACTCACACACTTGGTTGCAAAGTTGGCTTGTACAGAATTCTAGGCTGAAGAGATTTTTCCCCATAACACTGGAGCCATTGATTGATTGCAGTTTTGTCTCACTATTGATTTTGAGAAGCCAAATGTCATTTGTATACTTCTTTGTGTGTGTATATATATATATTTTATAACATATATAATATATATATTATATATAAATATATATATTATTATATTATTTATAAATATATATATTATTATATTATATATAAATATATATATAATATATATAAAATGTTTGTTAAATTTTTGTTCTATTTGTTTGGAATGCTCTATGCCCTTCAAGCTCAATCAGAGACCATACTTTTTCTTTATAATTTATGCTACCTCAAACCAAACTTCCTGGGCCTTCCCTGGAACATCTGGAGGTAAGCTGTAGTATTTTTTTAGACATCTCATGCATATTAGACTAAGTCTTACTATGTGATGTTTATATTTCTAAGGAGTGCAGCCCTTCTAAAACTCTACTTCCAATAATGAAATAATATTAACAACTTTTTTGACAACTTTAACTAAATAAGTACACATTTCAATAGAAGTTTAATTGTGTCCAACATTTAGCATATAGTTTGATTGCCTTGCTAATTATATAATCTTATCTCTCCTCTCTCTATCTCTCTCTCTCTCTCTCTCTCTCTCTCTCTCTAAGGGTAGCACTCTTTAAGATGTGTTAATGTCTCATATCCAACAAAGCAATGTAGAAATAAAAAGTATTTAAATGCTGAAAAAGTGTAATAATGGAATTTATGATTTTCAAGCTATACCAGGCCCCAAGCAATATTTCTTTCATATATTGAATTAAAATTTCTATCAATTTTATCAAAATAATGTATGAGAATTGCAGGAGGATATTCAGATTAATTACCTTGACTATTTAATGGTACCCATTATTTTCCTTGTCCCATGCTTAAGCTCAGTGAGGAGCTATCTCCTGTTCATACCAACTCCCAAAGTGACAACCCACTGTTAATACTCATCACTGATTATACAAAAGATGTGTGTAATTATTCAACTCTTTTTTTCTTTCTTTCTTTCTTTTTTTTTTTTTGTTGCAATGTCCTCACCTTCAAACATAGGCTTATTTTCTTGGGGTAAGGCTTATGAGAACTCATGATTAATAAATAGCTTTATACTTACACTAGCTTCAGATAAAACCCAATTAGCACATCTGCTATATAACTAAGATATTTAGGAAATTTACCCAGAGACTAGAATCTAGAGCTACAAGGTCCCAATTTTTATTTTTGCTTCCTCCATTAAAATATCCTACCACAAAGAAGGTGTAATCATAAACTAAATGAGCAGAGAATCCCAGAGAGAGAAGAAAACTAAGATATTTTTCTAGTATTAGAAAATTCATCACCTCAATTTAGAAAAGGAAGGTCAATAAAGAGCAAACACATCATTTTCCCTAAGGTATTATGTCAAATTCTTCAAACGTTGAGTTTAAAGTTCTCTGGGTAATTTCAAACTTTTAATGTAATATTTTTCTTCACCTATGGTAATTTATTCCAGTTATTTATATCTCATCTCATCAGCAGCTCACAACTGATTCAAAACTGAAATACTCTTCTAGACATGTCTCTTTCGATTTTAGTGGCTGTCAGTGGAATTTTCATAAGACAAAAATCCTGTTTGAAAAGGAGGCATACATGGCAATAATCTGAAAATCTGGCTAAATTTGAAGTTGCTCAAAACAAAATTACAATGACAACTAATTTTTTAATTGCACCTGAGGATTCTAACAGTTTATTTTCTACATTGGCCCAGCTTTTAATGGGTTTAACATATTAAATATCCTCTGAAGATTATTTAATTTTTATCTTGAAATTTCTCATATGAGGCATAAAATTAGGTTCTTATCTGAGAAGTTATATTTCCTTCAAACTCTTAGTTTCAAGTTTCCTTTGAAAGGATAGATTTTCTAAAATAAGAAACTGAACTTGCACTTGAAAATGTGTCCTGAATTTTTAAAATGTTTAGCCTAACAAGTTTCTTCCTGTTCACCATATGTCACAAAAATCATCATATTTCTATTCTTTATATTGATTAGATTTCAAATAGGGCCTGAGTTTTCATCTTTTCATTATGTTGCCTGGATTTTTATCAAGCCCATATTCCCTTGTCATTAATTAACTCAGAATTATATTTGAATGTCTTTCCACGTGCATCTGATGGATGGAATTTGTTTCCCATTGGAAGCTTCTGTTGGGAAACAATAAATAAGCTCAGAATAAAACTTCAAAATTAATTAAAATGTATGGCTTGTCTTGGGGGCAGTAGCACCATGGTATACCAAGCAGACTTTTCCTATTATATTTCTATTTTTTTCTCTAGATAGATGGTGGTCAGAATGATAACGAAACTTACAAATAATTCTGCCCATTTTCAAGACACTCAGAAGTATAATTTTCAGACTAAAAAAATAGAGAATGGCACATTTTCTCAGTTATTTATGAAGATGTGATTTTGCTATACATTTAGCAATTGTCACATTTGTTTTAACTAAGGAAAATGATTTTATAATAGCCAACTGCTAACAACATTCTAAATCTTCTCTTCTATTTTCAAATATACAAAAAACTATTTTTTACTATTGTAGCCCTACTGTGCTATTGAACACCAGAACTTATTCCTTCCATCTGACTGTATTTTTTATCTATTAACCAACTCCTTTTTATGCCCCTCTTCTCCATACCCTTTCCAGCCTCTCATAACCATCAATCTACTCACTACCCTGTTTTGATCATTACATGTAGTATGCACATATCATGTACCTCATAAATATATACAACTATTACATATCAATAAAAATGGGGGCATTAAAAAATAGTTAACTAATGACAAATATAACAAGTACTTCCAGGGTGCCATCTAAAAATGAATACTTTTTTACTGGAATCTTTGAGAGCGAAGCCAGGGATTTCTGTGTATATGCAGGCGTGCGAACGTAAGTGTGTATTTGTATGTTTCAGGGCGAAACTGAGCCCCATGTCCCTCCTTATCACTCATTGTCATTCATCATGTTCTTACAAAGGCTGCTCTCCTCACTAGCATGATCAAGTCACTGTACTAGTGAATCATGGATGTGAATCATGTCACTTAAGTAGGCTGTGGCAGCGAGATGATTGAAAAATAGCATTCAAGTGATAAACAGCTTTTAAACGTGGAGAAACAGCAAGATGATAAAAAAAATCCTTAAATATGTTGATCCATCAACTCAGTAATTAACCATCAAAATGTCAAGTTATAGGGCAGCTTTAGAGCTATTTAAGAGGTGAAGCCTAGGAAATCTGCTGTTTAAATGAGAGCAATGTGTTAATTAATGGTAATTTTTTAATATTCCCGGACTCTTGTCTACCAATTATGGTGCCCTTGAAAAATTACATAAGTAGTATTACTTTATCCACAGGCACAATCTGCATTTGTAATAGAGGTCAGCTTTTGGAATCCATCTGAATGACCTTCCATCTCTCCCTTCTCTATTGACCAGGGGAAGCTCTAGGAACTAAGCTCTCTGATATCCTCCAGGCTCTACTCAAATGCATCTTTCAATATAAAGAACCAAAATAAATGTGCCTCTTCAAGTTTTGTTTTGTTTCCTGGGACCACCAACACAAAATATGCTTGAACTCAACTACATGATTGTTTTATAAGATATGCTTTTTTCTCATTTAAATATAATACCTTAAACTATGTATATCTCAAACACACACACACACACAATGCACATGCACACCCAAAGTAAAATGGAGGCCAATTGAAAATTCTGCCTCTTTTAGCCTTATGTAAAAAACTATATTGTGATTATTGCAACATATGTGTGTGTTGGGGTGCTGTGTGAATAACAAGAGGATATTGTCAACCTATTAAGAACCTTCTATTCTTATCACGTCAATTTGAGATATTTACTGAGCATATGCTTGTGCTCTAGTATCACTGATAATTCTATTTCCTGTATGAGACAAAGGAAATTGACTACTGGCATTTCTGTGTTCTGTTCACAGGATGTACATTTACATGAGCCTCAAGAGACATCAGGATGAATGTAGTTGGAAGGAATGTGATTTAAATAGCCCTCAATAAGGTAATTTAAATAGCCCTCAACAATTTAGCAAAGTAAACTGAAAATTAAAAGTATTAAACGCATAGAGAACTTTAGGAATGCTAAACAATAAAATATGAAGTGATAGTGATTCAGATGGTGATTCTTTACTCCTTTTGGTTTCATTTTAATTTTTTAATAATACTCATGATGTGCTATTTAAAATATAAATGTTATTTTAAAGTAACATTTCTTCCTGATAACAGAAAACATTTCTGACAATGTCAGCACATCAAAGGAAGTGTGACCTCAGAGGAAAAATATTTTATGTCTCTGAGTTTGGAAGTGTTGAATCCTTTTTATACTAGATTTCATTCATTTACTTGTCAAAAGTCAGTTGGAGTTAAGTTCTGAAAGGAACATGATACTGCATGGAGCCACTCTTTTAGAGATAGCTATTAAATATTTAAAAGCACATGAAAACTGCCAGTGCAGTAGGATTCTAACAGCAAGATTAATCTTAGGTGAAAGTACAATATGTCTGAATACTTCAATAATAAATATTTGTATTCTCATAGAAAATCATCGTGCTTGGTTAGATTTGCGATGTATGAGCTAATAAGCTGTTTTATTGTTTGGCTGAACTGCACATTCTTTTTTCAAAGCTAATCTTTCTGAATTTTTGAAACTTACTATTTTAATATGCTCCGTTCTATTTATTTTGATCAGCATTGAGGATGATCAACGTTACAGTTACAAAGAACAGACCCTTATATACTGTGCTCCCTAGGAACCTAAGATCACAAAAATAGATACTGATGGTGGGCAGAATTTTACTGACTTTATTGACTTTATTTTCTTCCTAATGACTATTAATATTGAGAATTTTCAAGCTCATGCTTGACTCAGTATTCTTGTAGAAAAATTTGTAAGCTTGTCTTACTTCTCCAATACTCTGTCATTCCACCACCACCTAATATAAATTATAAGACTTGGGAGGTGGGTTTAGCATGGGGATATATGGAGAGAATGTTATCAGCACAGGAAAAATAAATCAACTGCTGAAACTCTTTTTTTTTTTATGAGAACAGTTTCCCAAAAATCTCCTTGAAAATTCTAAGCATTTTATCATCATTGGCATCCATTCACAAATCCTTAAAAGTCTGGGCTCCATTATATATCATGGATTTTGCGAGCTTTGTTCCCCAGCAGCATCATTAGTTTGGGAGAAAAGTGCAGAGATTGCATGTGTGAAACACACAACCTGTGGAAATTGATAAATCAGAGGTTTTTTAAAGTAACTTGGTTCTCTTGGTAAGGAAATGCAAGCTGAAAATTAAACAATATCTAATTATGTATCATATGGCTTCTGACACTTACTGTTCACGAGGAGAACCCTAAGTATTTCCCCAAATCCAGTTAAAATATATTAAAAATATTTCTTCTTTTTTTTCTTTCTTTCTTTTTTTTTTTTTTGAGACAGAGTCTCACTCTGTTGCCCAGGCTGAAGTGCAGTGGTGTGATCCCGGATCACTGCAACCTCCGCCTCCTGGATTCAAGCGATTCTCCCGCCTCAGCTTCCTGAGTAGATGGGATTATAGGTACCCACCACCATGCCCAGCTAATTTTCTGTATTTTTAGTAGAGAGGATTTCACCGTTTTGGCCAGGCTGGTCTCGAACTCCTGACCTCAGGTGATCTGCCTGCCTCGGCCTCCCAAAATGTTGGGATTACAGGTGTGAGCCACTGCAACCAGCCAAAAATATTCCTTCTTATATTTGACTTCTTTTACAAAAAAAAATCCTGTTATTCTCTGCCTTATAAAAAAGCTTCAATCTACTCTAATTCAGCCGATTCCCTATTTAAGGCAGAATACTCAACTATTTTAGAGGAAGAGGAAAATAATAGGATAAAAATTAGGGCAGTATGCTACTGGTTATTTTTTTTTTTTCATTTGCCTCCTTTCCCCCAAATTCATTATTCACTTCCTCTTTTCAGCTTTGTGAAAAGAAGGCCAGGCTCTATGGAATATAACTTTATTCATATTGTTACAGTAAGTTTTGGATTGGGTTCAGCCAATGGGAATTACAAGCCAAGATCAGAGCGTGGAAGGTGAGAGAATCGACATATTTCTTGCATGCAGTCTCCTTGTTATGATATTAGCAGTATATTCCGAAGGCTGCAGTGACTGCCAGGAGGCCTTTCTGTCAAAGTTCTATGTCTCACTTAGCTTCAGTAACCCATGTCCTCTTTTGTTCCATGACCCCTAAGCATGGTAATGGCCTCTCCATTTGAGTTTCTGAATCCATTCTGATGGATTTATGACAGTCACTTTTGAAGTAAGCTTCCTCTTTACTATTTTTATAGGTGATTTATTGGATTACATGCATTTACTCAACAACACTGTCTTGCTTTTTTAGTTCAAATGCTATTATGAATTGCATTAGCTTTCTTTGCCTTAACGAGTAATTTAAGAGGTGTTTTCTTAAAGTTATTTTTTAGGAAATGTTAATCAGGGATCAATTTAAATCTCACATACTAATTTGAAAAGAGTATATTTTAGTATCATAATAAGGGTTTGTTTTCAAAATTTGGAATAAATATTTGAAACATAAGTTATGACCCTGCCATTCCTCTGCTTAAAATGTGTCAATGTTTTCCTTGGTCATAGGATAAAGTTGAATTCCCTTTACACCTGTGCTCCTCAAAGTGTGGTCTGTGGACCCCCAGGGGGCTCCAAAGTTCCTTTCATATGTTCTACATGTTGAAAACTATTTTCAGAATAATACAAAGATAGCATTCACCTTCTTTATTGTGGTGACATTTACACTGGTGGTTCAACAGCATGAGCCCATAAACTGCTTATGTGTTAGCATAAATAGCAGAAGCAGTGACAAACTAGAGTAAGTAGTCACTGTACACTTTACCTCCTTGAACTTGCAGAAGAAAAAATAAAGAAAGCAAATCTTACTCAAGAATGTACTTAAAGCAATAAACTTATTAATTTTATTAAATCTGAATCCTTGAAAGTATGTCATGTTCTGTGTAATGCCATGGGAACTACATATAAATCTGCTCTGCTGCACACCAAAGTGTGGTGATTGTTTCAAGGAAAGGAGTTTATGCAATTGTATTAGCTGTGTAGTATATAAATGGCTTTATGCCATTTTACATGGAGGAAAGACTAAGACTAAGGGAAAAACAATTATTATTCAATCTTTTTGTTGTTGTTGTTGTTGCGTTTTTTTTTGAGATGGAGTCTCGCTCTGTAGCCCAGGCTGGAATGCAGTGGCGTGATCTCCACTCACTGCAAGCTCCGCCTCCCAGGTTCACGCCATTCTCCTGCCTCAGCCTCCCAAGTAGCTGGGACTACAGGTGCCCGCCACTATGCCCAGCTAATTTTTTGTATTTTTTTTTTTTTTTTAGTAGAGACAGGGTTTCACCATGTTAGCCAGGATGGTCTCCATCTCCTGACCTCGTGATCCACCCACCTCGGCCTCCCAAAGTGGTGGGATTACAGGTGCAAGCCACCGCACCTGGCCTATTATTCAATCTCGAGTATTGGCAGACATATTCTCAAAAATGATATAAGCAAGCCTACCAATTCAAGGGAAACAACTCAAGGTATGTGTTAGCAATGACAAAATTTGAGTTTCAAAGAAAACACATAGAATTTTGGAAAATGTGTATCCACCATAAGCTTTAAGTTTCTCTAATAATAATGTCTTTTCTGATAGTGGTGATGTTGATAGTAAAGAATGTCATCTTTTTTAAAATTGTACAGTGAAATGAATCACTTTTTGAAAGATCCTCAAATAATTCAGTGATCTTATAATTTCCAAATAACTAATTTAAAATGTTGTTAAATCATGCATAAGATTCATTCAAGATGCAAAACATGTAAATATATTTCAAAATAATAGTGTGAAAAAAGTTAACGCATGGTTTCAGATTTTGCATTGTAACAAATCCTTATTAAACACTGCTTATCAAATTTTGGTGTATTTGTGAAGAATATCTACAGCAATTTGAAAGTCTATTAAAATACTCTTCTCCTAACCTAACTACAAATATGTGTGAGGTAAAATTTTCTTCACATACTTCAACCAAAAAATATTATAACAAACCAAATGCAGATACCTGTATGAGCAAAGAGCTGTTTTCTATTAAGCCATACATTTTAAATAGCTTTTAAAAAATATAAAACTATGTCACTCCTTTTACTAAGTTTTATGCTTTTGAGAAATGTAGCTATTTTTAAAATAAAACATACTATTTGTGTTAATACATACAGCTTTTATTATTATTAAATTAACTATTAATAATTTGTAATTTGTTTTAGTGTCTAATATGGTAACACCTATTGCTATAACTCATTTAATCAAAAGTGGTTGAGGTTCTCATTGATTCATAAAATTGCAAAATAGTCCTGGAACAACCACATATGAAAAATAAAATATGTAATATTTCATTTGTATCCATTCCTGCAGCCTCATTTTCCATTCATACCCACCCCTCTAAAATTCCAAAGCATCAGTTTTACTGTTGCCTGATATAACCAAGTTTTCCTCTACTTCAGTGCTTAACAGATATTTTTCCCTATAACTGAAATGTCCAGGGCGGTTCCAAGACGGCCGAATAGGAACAGCTCCAGTCTACAGCTCCCAGCGTGAGCGATGCAGAAAATGGGTGATTCCTGCATTTCCAACTGAGGTACCAGGTTCATCTCATTGGGACTTCTTGGACAGTGGGTGCAGGACAGTGGGTGCAGCCCACCGAGTGTGACCCTAAGCAGGGCGAGGCATCGCCTCACCTGGGAAGCGCATGGGTCAGGGAATTCCCTTTCCTAGAAAAGGGAAGCTGTGACAGACGGCACCTGGAAAACTGGGTCACTCCCACCCTATTACTGCACTTTTCCAACAGTCTTAGCAAGCCGCACACCAGGAGATTATATCCCACGCCTGGCTTGGAGGGTCCCACACCCACGGAGCCTCGTTCATTGCTACCACAGCAGTCTGAGATAGAACTGCAAGGCAGCAGTGAGGCTGGGGGAGGGGTTCCCGCCATCACTGAGGCTTGAGTAGATAAACAAAGTGGCCTGGAAGCTCAAACTGGGTGGAGCCCACCACAGCTCAAGGAGGCCTGCCTGCCTCTGTAGACTCCACCTCTGGGGGCAGGGCATAGCCGAACAAGAGGAGCAGAAACCTCTGCAGACTTAAATGTCCCTGTCTGACAGCTTTGAAGAGAGTGGTTCTCCCAGCAGGGAGTTTGAGATCTGAGAATGGACAGACTGCCTCCTCAAGTGGGTCCCTGACCCCCGAGTAGCCTAACTGGGAGGCACCACCAAGTAGGGGCAGACTGACACCCCACACAGCCAGCTACCCCTCTGAGAAAAAGCTTCCAGAGGAATGATCAGGCAGCAACATTTACTGTTCAGCAATATTCTCTGTTATGCAGCCTCCGCTGCTGATACCCGGGAAAACAGGATCTGGAGTGGACCTCCAACAAACTCCAACAGACCTGCAGCTGAGTGTCCTGACTGTTAGAAGGAAAACTGACAAACAGAAAGGACATCCACACCAAAACCCCATCTGTACATCACCATCATCAAAGACCAAAGGTGGATAAAACCACAAAGATGGGGAAAAAACAAAGCAGAAAAACTGAAAATTCTAAAAATCAGAGCACCTCTCCCTCTCCAAAGGAACATAGCTCCTCGCCAGCAACGGAACAAAGCTGGATGGAGAATGATTTTGATGAGTTGAGAGAAGAAGGCTTCAGATGATCAAACTTCTCTGAGCTAAAGGAGGAAGTTCAAACCCATTGAAAAGAAGCTAAAAACTTTGAAAAAGATTACATGAATGGCTAACTAGAATAACCAATGCAGAGAAGTCCTCAAAGGACCTGATGGAGCTGAAAACCATGGCATGAGAAATACGTGATGAATGCACAAGCTTCATTAGCCAATTCGATCAACTGGAAGAAAGGGTATCAGTGATTGAAGATCAAATGAATGAAATGAAGTGAGAAGAGAAGTTTAGAGAAAAAAGAGTAAAAAGAATGGTGTACCTGAAAGTTACGGGGAAAATGGAACCAAGCTGGAAAACACGCTGCAGGATATTATCCAGGAGAACTTCCCCAACCTAGCAAGGCTGGCCAACATTCATATTCAGGAAATACAGAGAATGCCAAAAAGATACTCCCCGAGAAGAGCAACTCCAAGACACATAATTGTCAGATTCACCAAAGTTGAAATGAAGGAAAAAATGTTAAGGGCAGCCAGAGAGAAAGGTCGGGTTACCCACAAAGGGAAGACCATCAGACAAACAGTGGATCTCTCAGCAGAAACTCTACAAGCCAGAAGAGAGTGGGGGCCAATATTCAACATTCTTAAAGAAAAGAATTTTCAACCCAGAATTTCATATCAAGTCAAACTAAGCTTCATAAGTGAAGGAGAAATAAAATCCTTTACAGACAAGCAAATGCTGAGAGATTTTGTCACCACCAGGCCTGCCCTAAAAGAGCTCCTGAAGGAAGCACTAAACATGGAAAGGAACAACTGGTACAAGCCACTGCAAAAACAGGGCAAATTGTAAAGACCATCGATGCTAGGAAGAAACTGCATCAACTAATTAGCAAAATAACCAGCTAACATCATAATGACAGGATCAAATTCACACATAACAATATTAACCTTAAATGTAAATGGGTTAAATGCTCCAATTAAAAGACACAGACTGGCAAATTGGATAAAGAATCAAGACCCAACAGTGTGCTGTATTCAGGAGACCCATCTCACATGCAGACACACACATAGGCTCAAAATAAAGGGATGGAGGAAGATCTACCAAGCAAATGGAAAACAAAAAAATGGCAGGGGTTGCAATCCTAGTCTCTGATAAAACAGACTTTAAACTAACAAAGATCAAAAGACACAAAGAAGGCTATCAGATAACGGTAAAGGGATCAATTCAACAAGAAGAGCTAACTATCCTAAATATATATGCACCCAATACTGGAGCACCCAGATTCATAAAGCAAGTCCTTAGAGACCTACAAAGAGACTTAGACTCCCACACAATAATAATGGGAGATTTTAACACCCCACTGTCAATACTAGACAGATCAATGAGACAGAAAGTTAACAAGCATATCCAGGAATTGTACTCAGCTCTGCACCAAGCAGACCTAATAGACATCTACAGAACTCTCCACCCCAAATCAACAGAATATACATTCTTCTCAGCACCACACTACACTTAGTCCAAAACTGACCACATAGTTGGAAGTAAAGCACTCCTGAGCAAATGCAAAAGAACAGAAATTATAACAAACTGTCTCTCAGACCACAGTGCAATCAAACTAGAACTCAGGATTAAGAAACTCACTCAAAACCACTCAACTACATGGAAACTGAACAACCTGCTCCTGAATAACTACTGGGTACATAACGAAATGAAGGCAGAAATAAAGATGTTTTTTGAAACCAACGAGAACAAAGACACAACACACCAGAATCTCTGGGACACATTTAAAGCAGTGTGTAGAGGGAAATTTAGGGCACTGAATGCCCACAAGAGAAAGCAGGAAAGATCTAAAATTGACACTCTAACATCACAATTAAAAGAACTAGAGAAGCAAGAGCAAACACATTCAAAAGCTAGCAGAAGGCAAGAAATAACTAAGGTCAGAGCAGAACTGAAGGAGATAGAGACATAAAAAACCCTTCAAAAAATCATTGAATCCAGGAGCTGGTTTTTTGAAAAGATCAACAAAATTGATAGACCACTAGCAAGACTAACAAAGAAGAAAAGAGAGAAGAATCAAATAGACACAATAAAAAATGATAAAGGGGATATCACCACCGATCCCACAGAAATACAAACTACCATCAGAGAATACTATAACCACCTCTAAGCAAATAAACTAGAAAATCTAGAAGAAATGGATAAATTCCTCGACACATAAACCCTGCCAAGACTAAACCAGGAAGAAGTTGAATCCCTGAATAGACCAATAACAGGCTCTGAAATTGAGGCAATAATTAATAGCCTACCAACCAAAAAAAGTCCAGGACCACATGGATTCACAGCTGAATTCTACCAGAGGTACAAGGAGGAGCTGGTACCATTCCTTCTCAAACTATTCCATTCAATAGAAAAAGAGGGAATCCTCCGTAACTCATTTTATGAGGCCAGCATCATCCTGATACCAAAGCCTGGCAGAGACACAACAAAAAAGGAGAATTTTAGACCAATATCCCTGATGAATATCGATGCAATAATCCTCAGTAAAATCCTGGCAAACCAAATCCAGCAGCACTTCAAAAAACTTATCCACCATGATCAAGTGGGCTTCATCCCTGGGATGCAAGGCTGCTTCAACGTATGCAAATCAATAAATGTAATCCAGCATATAAACGAACCAAAAACAAAAACCACATGATTATCTCAATAGATGCAGCAAAGGCCTTTGACAAAATTCAACAGCCCTTCATGCTAAAAACTCTCAATAAATTAGGTATTGATGGGATGTATCTTAAAATAATAAGAGCTATTTATGACACACCCACAGCCAATATCATAGTGAATGGGCAAAAACTGGAAGCATTCCCTTTGAAAACGGGCACAAGACAGGGATGCCCTCTCTCACCACTCCTACTCGACATAGTGTTGGAAGTTCTGGCCAGGGCAATCAGGCAAGAGAAAGAAATAAAGAGTATTCAATTAGGAAAAGAGGAAGCCAAATTGTCCCTGTTTGCAGATGACATGATTGTATATTTAGAAGACCCCATCATCTCAGCCCAAATCTCCTTAAGCTGATAAGCAACTTCAGCAAAATCTCAGGATATGAAATCAATGTGCAAAAATCACAAGCATTCTTATACACCAATAACAGACAAACAGAGAGCCAAATCATGAGTGAACTCCCATTCACAATTGCTTCAAAGAGAATAAAGTACCTAGGAATGCAACTTACAATGGATGTGAAAGACCTCTTCAAGGAGAACTACAAACCACTGCTCAATGAAATAAAAGAGGACACAAACAAATGGAAGAACATTCCATTCTTATGGACAGGAAGAATCAATATCATGAAAACGGCCATACCACCCAAGGTAATTTATGGATTCAATGCCATCCCCATCAAGCTACCAGTGACTTTCTTCACAGAATTGGAAAAAACTACTTTAAAGTTCATATGGAACCAAAAACGTGCCCACATTGCCAAGACAATCCTAAGCCAAAAGAACAAAGCTGGAGGCATCATGTTACCTGACTTCAAACTATACTACAAGGCTACAGTAACCAAAACAGCAGTGTACTGGCACCAAAACAGAGATATAGACCAGTGGAACAGAACGGAGTCCTCAGAAATAATACCACACATCTACAACCATCTGTTCTTTGACAAACCTGACAAAAACAAGAAGTGGGGAAAGGATTCCCTATTTAATAAATGGTGCTGGTTAAACTGGCTAGCCATATGTAGAAAGCTGAAACTGGATCCCTTCCTTACACCTTATACAAAAATTAATTCAAGATGGATTAAAGACTTACATGTTAGACCTAAAACCATAAATACCCTACAAGAAAACCTAGGCAATACCATTCAGGACTTAGGTATGGGCAAGGACTTCATGTCTAAAACACCAAAAGCAATGACAACAAAAGCCAACATTGACAAATGGGATCTAATTAAACTAAAGAGCTTCTGCACAGCAAAAGAAACTAACATCAGAGTGAACAGGCAACCTAGAGTATGGGAGAAAATTTTTGCAATCTACTCATCTGACAAAGGGCTAATATCCAGAATCTACAAACAACTCCAACAAATTTACAAGAAAAAAACAAACAACCCCATCAAAAAGTGGGCAAAGGATATGAACAGACACTTCTCAAAAGAAGATATTTATGCAGCCAAAAGACACATGAAAAAATGCTCATCATCACTGGCCATCAGAGAAATGCAAATCAAAACCACAATGAGATACCATCTCACACCAGTTAGAATGGCGATCATTAAAAAGTCAGGAAACAACAAGTGCTGGAGAGGATGTGGAGAAATAGGAACACTTTTACACTGTTGGTGGGACTCTAAACTAGTTCAACCATTGTGGAAGACAGTGTGGCCATTCCTCAAGGATCTAGAACTAGAAATAACATTTGACCCAGCCATCCCATTACTGGGTATATACCCAAAGGATTATAAATCATGCTGCTATAAGGACATATGCACACGTATGTTTATTGTGGCACTATTCACAATAGCAAAGACTTGGAACCAACCCAAATGTCCATCAATGATAGACTGAATTAAGAAAATGTGGTACATATACACCATGGAATACAATGCAGCCATAAAAAATGATGAGTTCATGTCCTTTGTAGGGACCTGGATGAAGCTGGAAACCATCATTCTCAGGAAACCATCACAAGGACAAAGAACCAAACACCACATATTCACACTCATATGTCAGAATTGAACAGTGAGAACACCTGGACACAGGAAGGGGAACATCACACACCAGGGCCTGTTGTGGGGTGGGGGAAGGAGGGGGATAGCATTAGGAGATATACCTAATGTAAATGACGAGTTAACGGGTGCAGCACACCAACATGGTGCATGTATACATATGTAACTAACCTACACGTTGTACACATGTACCCTAGAGCTCAAAGTATAATAAAAAAAATCATCAAGAAAAAAAAATAACTGAATGCCCAGCTGAGTATGCAAAGATTAATTTTTCTGACTGTTGCTGATTGCTGTGGTTCATTTGTTACAACATAATTGGAGTATGGGTGTATACTTGGAATGTATGGAAATGTTAAGAGCCCAGATATTTACTTTTCTTATTTCTTCTTCATTAAAGTTTATAGACTTTGCGTCTGGGAGAATACTGAAAATGAATAGTTGGGTTAATTTCAAAGTGTCAAGCATGATTTGATTTATCTCTAGAAGACCAGACCTTTCTGATAGGATAGAGAAAAGGAGTGGCATTTATCTTATGAAGTCTTAAGGAAATTAAAATAAGTGAATTTGTAAAATGCTGAATACTATATATGGGTGCTAAAAATGACATTTAAGGATAAGAAAAAATCCTGGTAAAACTAAAATATTATGACAATAAACATAACCGATATGGAGATGTCTGAAAATCCTCAGAAGTAACATAGCTGAAAACAGGTATAGAGGCCTGATCCAGTCCTCAGGCACCCATGCACCCATGTACAGAGTAATATATAAATGAGAAAATTCAACAAAATTGCCAGAATGATCCTGTGGAAATCACCACAATTAGTGGAAATTATTATTATGGTAAGGACAATATGTGCCTTACCCAGAAGAAATGGAGAAAAGATGGAGGATATCAACAGTTAAACAAGAAATTATTCATCTTGAAAATTCACAAAGCTGACAGAGGAAAGTAATTAAATATTTCAGGATGAATATAAAATGGAGGAACATAGATATGGTATTTTAACGGAGAATATGGAATATTGAAAAATTCTTCAGAAGTACTTAAACTAAGAGAAACTCAACAGGGTGAGGTTATTTGATTATAGTAATTTTGAAACAATTGACTTTGAAAACGAACTATACATTTTCAAAAACGAATAGAAAATTATCTATAATGTCTTCACCTTAATGCAGTTAGGAATGTCATGGTGATGTTAGTTCAGTATTTCTCCTCTTCATAATTGAAAAAGAGACTTTTAGGCCAACTAGTTTAGTTTCTTCAACAGTTAGCAGTCAAACAAAGGACACTGCAAGCATAAAAAAAATCAAGGATCCTGACAACTAAATACAATGTATAAGATACTGGAATGGTTTCAGGCAATCTTTTCCTATAGGCATGAGTACATGAGGGTGGTAACTACAGTGTTATTTTGCACATGACACTTCTTATTTTTATTTTTTCACCTATTAATATATCTTGATCATTTAATTAATGCTAATTAATATTTGAAAATATGGTATCTGTAATGTTGTAAGGAGAAATCACCACCAATTCCACTATTAGTTAAATAAAAACTAATATTAAGCATTTACCTTCAGTATTGCTAATATAGTTTTAAATTTTCTAAACTATTATTTGTTCAACTTATTAATATGAAACATTTTTATAATTAAGGAAGAGTTTCAAACATAGTGCAGAAAATGTCTTTATACACATCACTCAGATTCCCCTAATATTAACATCTTACATAACCAGTGTACAATAATTAAAAATATGAATTAATGTTATGATGTCATTAACAAAGCTACATATATTATTTACATGACATCAGTATTTTTTCATTAATGTTTTATTTTGGTTCCAGGACTATTTGGTCATTATTTTTTCTTAATCTCCTGCAGTCTGTAATTTTCCTCAGTCTTTACTTGTCATTCATAACCTTGACACTTTTGAAGATTGTTGGTTAAATACTATGATGAATGGCTCTCAGTTTGGTTTTACCTACTCTTTTGTCACAATAAGATGGAGGCGATAAATTATTGGAAAGAATATCACAGTGATGTATTTTAACATAATTGAAAATATTCTAATTAAACTATTTTAACACTTTATTGTCTCTACATATTATGTCATACATTTTTGTCCACATCAATAACACATTTTATGGGCATTTTTTTTGTATAATTATAGCAAAGTAATAAATGGATCACATATATTAATGCATTCATAATAAACTAATGTATAATAATGTGATGGCATAATTTCAGATAATATTTAAAAGTCAGTTGCAATTCATTAATGATGTCTAATTTCATCAGGAAAAATTAGGTAGGCAGAATTTGAGATGAGCTTTCCAAGGTATAGAAAATATTACTAACTAGGAAGGGTAAAACTTTGTATCATAGGCAGAGAAAATGAGTTAGAAATATATTGGGAGTAGAGATGGAGAGGATGGTATAAAAATGCTATAAAGACATTACCCAACAGATTTTAAAATCCTTTAACAAATATTTTATTATATTCTAAAAACATAAGTACAAAATAACTGTCATCTTAACGACATTAATGAAATTAATTGAGGCCCCCCAAAATTGAATGAGTTTTACTAGATCACTCTCTGTAAAAGTACATGAAGAGTCAAATCTGGATTATTTGGATTTCTAATGTTACTGTCTACCATTAACTTGGCATAAATTGGTGGTGTAATAAAAATAATGCCATATAAATTATGTCTTCTCTCTTTTTGAATTCCTATTTTGCTTTACCTCTTGAAAATAGTTAAAATTATTTTTGTTTTCTTAGAAATCATATTTTTAAGCTGTTGAATAGCAATGAATATTTTATTTTTATTGCTTTCACATGTAAGAGAATGCTTAAATAAGCAAACATTTGGGGGTTAACTACTTTTCATTGAAATGCTACAGAAATTGCTCTTATGGAATTCAGTATTACTGAGAAGTCTGATATAAGCCTAATATTTATTATTACTTTTAGAAAACCCAGTAAGATATTGAAACAAAACAAACATAAAGATAGGTTGTTGATGCATATTGCCTTTATTTAATACTTAACAGGCAATGCACTCATGTGTTTCATAAATCTATACACGTTTATTTTTTTATTTATGATTTTCTCTCATTGCCACTGTCATTTATTTGCTGAGTCACCCTTCATGCTTATCCATAGGTAATACTTCTTAGTTTTTTGTATATTCTTCCAGTATTTTTTATATACATATGTATATGTGTGTATATACATGAAAATAAGTATATATTCTTATTTAACCATCTTTTTACATAAAATGGAGTCTAATATTTACACTATTCTTCAACTAGCTTTTACATACAAAACAAATGTTGAATATATGACGACATAGATTTTTCTTCTCTTTATTTTTACAACTACTTAGTGGTTTATTATATTGCCTGGGGAATTCTGTGTATATTAAGCCATGAGAAATTATTTTGTGATTATAAATGTTAGAATTAAGGCTTATATAATTATTAATGTTTTGATTATCTAAATGAATGTCCAATAGGACAATGAAAAATGTTGTGGGGCATGGGTCAATTATTCCATGTACAGAAATATTCTGCCTTTTGCATCTGTCTGACATCTTTGGTCCCTAATCACAAAATGTCATTAATGCATCATAATCATTGTGACAAATAACAAGTCTCCTAAAGATTTCCAAAGAAATTTAAGAGGGAGCTGTTGTCCCAGTTGAGAACTTCTCTATTATAGGATTACTACTGCTGAAATTTCTTTCTCAGGTATCATTGACAATTCATAAACAAACAAAATGGCCTTAGACTACAGTAGTTAAAAGAATGATTTTTGTTTGTATCTAACTACTTTTTGTTAGCCTTGCCCAACAATCAAATGGCCTTTTACCAAGGTCATGGTCCCTAGAAAGAAGGCTACAAAGGAAGGCTGTGTGTCAACTAGGTGTGTTCTAAACATCATTTTTCCAGTTGGAGGAATGCTGAGTTTGGAGATGGCTGATAAATGTGTCATCTGGATAACATTCTGAGATTGATATAGGTGAGCAAAATGATATACTAGATAATCTTCTGACACTCATGTTACAGTTCTGTAACATGAGATATTTCCTACAAATCCTATGAAACCCCAAGGATTACTGAAGGAAATAGATTCCAATTACAATGTACCTCCCATGCTGCTATTTCAAATAACCATTTGCTTTCATACATAAAGCATTTTTGAGAACTAAAAGGTTTGCAGATTTGAGGTTGTCATTCTTTTACTCACATTTCACAACTGATTTTAATAAAAAGATGTGTTATGTTAACTTTGCTTGTTCTGAGTGATGTAGATTATAGTTTCCATAACTAAGCACAATCCAATTAAAGTCATACATTCAGCTCTGAAATGTGACATTGAATCAAACTTTAGACATTTTAATTCATACTTTAGTGCTTTCAGGTGGTTTTATAAAAATCATTAGTCATTGCAAGCTATTCACTGCCCTCAATAATGTAAGATCACATATCTTCTCTACCCACCTCTGGAAATACCATTTATTCTGCTTGTTGCTCTCATTACAGTTTTGTAAAAGAAAAATACAGGATCTTAATTTAATTTTATATTGCCCAATCTCCCAAAATATTTCTTTTTTTGAGATGTAGATATATACATACATTCTTGTTGGAGGCCGAAACAGTGAGGGTCACGATCAACTCAGTATACCACTGGAGGCTATATGAGTAAACAGCAAACTGTCCTCATAAACGCAGGTTGTTAGCAAACTGGCAAACTGCATCTGGTACCCAGAAGGAATGCTGAGGGCAGTCACAACCCATGCACAAGTGTTTTTCATGATTAGGCACATCTGAAGCCTGTTAGCAATAATGTGAACCTGTGATTAATTAAGCAGCTGACCAATAGTTACCTCCTGCTCCCTGCTCTTTCTACCCAATAAATACGAAGGGCTGTAGAAGCTCAGGGTGGCTGTCTTTGCTCACTAGAAGCAGGGAGCCCTCTTCTTCTTATCCTGGACCCTTCCTTTAAAATAGTTTATTTTGTCTTAGGTTCTCATTTCTACGTTTGTCCCTTCCTTCAGTCTTGTAATGACCAGCGTCAAGTAGTAACAGTACTAACTGTTGTAATGATGGTCTCAAGTAGTAACAGTAGTAACTGTCTTAGTGATGGTCTCAAGCAGTAACCATGGCAGTCAGCCACACATTCTTATTATGAAATCAGTGATTTTAAAGTTGTATGAACCAAACAATTTTGGGATTTTCAAATTAAACCAGTCATCGTTTTATCATAAGTATATATAAATTTTACAAACACTGCTGATATGGAATATTGGCATTTTATATTGACTTTGGTTGCTAGCACCTTGATGGAAATGTTATCTTATTACATTGTATGATATAAACCTTAAAATGTCTAACTTTGGAATTAATAATATTTGGAAGACATTCTGTCTCTGCTAATATTTGGCTGAGGAAACTGGGACAAGTTATTTAAATTTTCTAGATATCTATTTTCTTGTTTTTAAGATATAAATACAAACAGCTTTCTTTCACAGCTAATAAGTGCAATCATCATGGTATGTGTCTCCACTGCTTGTTTTTGTCAGGTTTGTTGAAGATCATATAGTCATAGGTGCACCTCTGAAGTCAAAATAAAAGTTAAAAAAGTAAATAAATGAATAAATAAACCATTAAAAAAGACCCATGAGTTCTAAAATAAAGTAACTAAAGCACCAACTCACCTATATTGCAAATTCGAGCCATTCCTGAAAACTTACGTTTTAACTAAGATTAACTCCTGTTCTCTTCCCTCCAAATCTTGCAAATTATTGTTCTTGGAGTACTCCTTCTGAAATACTGCATAGTTCCTATGATATCATTTTCCCTTGCTGAATGAAGCATACTAATAAAATTCAGTGTGTTTGACTACATATGTTTGTCGTTATATTTGGCCGACTGGATTTAAGAAGTAACTTCCTCCAAGGGAGTCACTAACTTTCTCCCACAGAAAAAGAGTCCTACTTTTGGTATACACATATTTTAATTAGTTCTTATTCCTATCTTTAGTTTCTGAATAAAATAAGCAATTACCCCCTGCCTTCTGAAGTTTTCTATAATGACTTTAACTAATGACCTAAATTAGAATATTCTCATTAACTAAAATATTTGCTATAAACTGGATGTTCATGTCCCCCCAAATTTATATGTTAACTCCTAACCCCCAATGTGATGGTATTTGGAGAAGATATACGGGCTTCTGTTCTCTTTCTTTATTTCTTTCACTCCCTCTTCCCCATTTCCCTCTTTCTACCCGTCCCTGTCACATGAGGACACAGAAAAAAGGGATCCATCTGCAAATCAGGAAGACAGCCATCATGTTCATGCTGGCTCTTTGATCTTGGACATCTAACCTCCAGAACTGTGAGAAAACAAATTTCTGCTGTTCATGCATCTCTGTTTATGGTATTTTCTTATGGCAACTAGTGCTGACTAATACAATGTTTATGATATAATTTAAGTGGAAAGAGAAGTTTATAAGACTATGTAGCATGATCACAATTTAATTTAAAACATTGATATGCATAGAATATGATTTTAAATACATGCATCCCATGAAAAATAGAAATTTTCTCTGGATAGTGAGATTACTTGTGATTCTTATTTTTTTTATTTTTACATCCACTATTGTCCACAGTGTCTACAATGCAGAAAACTCTAAAAAGACTGCAAAATGAAACTTCTCTACCCCATTGATCGTCTTCCCCATGCTGCTTGCCTTTGCTTACATGCATATAATAAGCAGACCCAGCACCTGAGGCTTGCTATGGGCTTTCACTCCTGTTACTACCAAGGCAAATCCATCCCATTTGTTCTTTTTCTAATGCTTCTGCTTCAGTCCAGTCCTCATTTTCTTTTTGTGTTTTTCCCCAATGATTGGCCTCATTATTTAGTGTCTTATATCATTCAAACTCATTTTCCACAATACAGTCATAAAGATGGACTTCTCTAAAACACCAATCCAGCCTTTTTTTATTCTCTTGTTTAAATTTCCTTTAAAAGCATTCATTCACCTACAAAATAAATGTCAAATTTTTAGTCATGGCTTATACACTGTAGTAAAATACGTTCCCCAGGAAGAAATTCTACAGCTTTCGTAGCTCTAGCTCTACTTTCTGTGACTACTTCATCAGGATGCTGGCAAGTTGGATTCCTGTGACTTAGTGAAGAAGACTTATATCTGGGTGAGTGTCAGCCTGAAGTAATCAGTGAGCTCATGGCAAGCTACATCTTGGCATACTCATGATCTTTTTCTTTCCTCCTCCTTAAGAGAGGTAGGCCAAGGAGATAAGAAGATATTTAATTACTGGTGGATTACTTATATTTAAGAAAAGTTTTTTTGTGTGACTGAGGCTTAAAACCGGTATATGCTCTGCGGCTCTTAAAAAGTCTAACTGAAAAGCATGAATGTGCTGAATAAAAGATTGGTATCTATATAAATAAGATAATACCATTTTTCTAAAATTTCCAAATGTTTAAGTATTTCATTCAAAAATTATATACTGAGCACTTCCTGTTTACCAAGGACTCAGATCCTTGGGACAAAAATATTCATTAGAGAAAGCACACGGCAGATATTGTAATATGTATAACATTAAATAATTAACATCATTGTGTATAATACATTAATATAAATAATACTAAGTTTAGAAAATCCAAATTATGTGAAGTTGCTGCATTAGGAGAAAAACTTTTGGCACACCATTTATCATATCTGCCTACCTGGTCGAGGAACAGCATTTTGCAAACTCCTGTTTGGATTGCAAATGTTCCTGATTTCACAGAGTGCTGTAGGGAAAGTAATTGCTTCATGAACAATAATTGAAAAGATAACACACATTTACCCCTTAAAGGTGAGGGGTTACCCTTGGTATGTTTTTTATTTTTATTTTTTTTAAATTACACTTTAGGTATTTTCTTAGGACAGAGGCTTTTTCGCCAGATAAAGAGACCTCAGACATTAACTACATTCTTAGATTCATAGGGAAGGCTGAACCTTTGGAAATAGGAGAGAAAAATAGGATGGAAACAATAACTTCTCACATTAAACTTTGTCAAATAGGTTTTATATGCTTGTTGTTGAGCTGCAATATAGGACATATAGCCATATATATATATATATATATATATATATATATATATATATATATACTTTGTTTTCTAGGAAGTTAAAAAAAGTTAAAAAATACTGCCTCTTCATTATGTCAAAATTATACTAATGCAAAGTGATCCTTTATTTAATGATTGGTTAATTTTTACAGGTAGCAGTTAATAGAGTTTCAACAGACTTACTTTAACTCTTATATATTAATACCAGAAAAAGCTTGAAATTGTTCGTTTTCAGGTTAAATATGTAAAAGTTATTTAAAGATTATAAAATCAACTAACTATAATTTTCAGTATAAATACAGTTTATTTTAAAATATTGATTATTATCATTGTTGGAAAATTTTCATTATTATATTTGGGTTATTTAATATGTAAAATACATTATTTTATTTTTAATTAAATTCAATCTATATCTACTAGTAACTTGTATTTTGCCTATCAATAACAAAGGTGATAAACACATGTTAAGACATCAACAGACAAGAATTTTGAATGGTAAATCAGGTACATACTTCATTGAGTTTTCCCCTTCAAAAAAAGTATTACATGTAGAAAAGCAAAATAACAGAAACTATTTAATAATGTAAAATATTTAACCTGGATAACCTATACACTTGTATATTCCAAAGGATTAAGTAAAATAAGCCCTGCCACAAATACTTGATACTCCCTTCCACTACTCTTCTACAGCTTTTCTCTTCAATCAGATTACAGAAGGGAATTACAATTTAGTGCTACAGACATTCGTGGCTAGTGACACGAGAAGATAAAAAAAGGAAGAACATTTAGTATTAATAATAATGGCAACTAACATTTAAAGAGTGATCTAAAGTTTAGAAAGTACTATTGACATACATTGTTTCTTTAATTAATGAATGAATATTTAATTAATGAACTTCTCCAAAAATCAGTTTCAAGTAATCACCCACCCACTATTATCTCCTTATGATCTTATGAAAGTAGCATTAAAAAAAGCGTTTACTGCTACTATTACTAAGCCAATGAACATTTCCATGAGTTCATTAAACTGTAAGACCTATATGAAAGTGAAATCAATGAAATCTAATCATAAGAAAGATATTTTCTTCTTAAGCATTGACTTAGAATATAACCTTCCAAATATAAAATATACAAAAGAAGCCATAAAAAAGTATGTGTCTTGACTATGCAAAAAAACCTTTATGTCAATTAACATAACAAACACAATTAAAGGCCAATAGTAAACTAGAGATAAAATATGTCTTGAACACATATGAGGATTAAAAATGAATTCTGGCTTTTATTTGGCTTGTGTTTTAATTTATGCCATATTTAGTTCTTAAGATAGAGTGTGGTTGCCTTAATATATAAGGAGCTTTTAACAAAAAACAAAACTAGTGCTCCAGGGAAAAATATGTTGAAGATATGAGTGGAAAGTTAAAAGGATAACATGCAAAAATCTGTGCAATCAAATCAATAATTAAATACATGCAAATAATTACTACTAATATATGTGAATTTCTTTTTTCATGATAGCACAAAACTAATTGCAACATTATTTTTAATAACAAAATATGGGGTAAATCAAAATGTTCATATAAGAACATTATTAGTTTAAAAAATGATGTAACACAAGATTTGAAATGTTTACTGACTTACAAGATTAAAATGTCAGTGTTCATACCATTAAATAAAATGTTGTACCACATTTTTAAGTTTATATGCATATGTAACAATTGTAATATGTAGCATCTTTTGTGTGTGTGTGTATATACACATACCGTATCTATCTATATATATACACATCATATATATGATGTTATATATTTTAAATATGGAAGAAAGAAATAAAATTAAAAGTTTCTCTATTAAGTTTTAAAAGTTTCACCTGGAGAAACCAGATATGCCTCTTATGAAAATATTCATTTTTTAATAGTAACTTTTGGGCAGTTTCTATAAGTATAGAGGAAATTAAAATTTCTTGATTTTAATTGCAAGAGCATAAAAGTAATTTTTATTATTATTTTTTTTGAGATGGAGTCTCACTTTGTCACCCAGGCTGGAGTGCAGTGGCGCGATCTCGGCTCACTGCAACCTCCACCTGCCGGGTTCAAACGATTCTCCTGCCTCCGCCTCCCGAGTAGCTGGGATTACAGGCACGCGCCACCAGACCCGGCTAATTTTTGTATTTTTAGTAGAAACTGTTGGTCAGGCTCCTCTCAAACTCCTGACCTCATGATTCACCCGCCGTGGCCTCCCAAAGTGCTGGGATTACAGGCATGAGCCACTGTGCCTGGCTCAAAAGTATTTTTAATAAGAATTCGGATTAAGGTAACTCTTTTGAAATCTTTTATCCCTTATTTGGTGTTAAACAAAATTAAAACACAAATGCAATAAGGTGAACAATTATCCTTTGGAAACGCAGAGCAGAACCTGAAATTTAAAAGCTGCCTTTTCTCATACTATATATTAATCTTCAAACATACATGGGAGAAAAAAAGCTAAGTAGGCTGTTCTATTGGGGAATCGACAAGAAAAACGGAAGAATAGATTAAAGCACTTAAATTGTATATCTACAGCTGCCTTAAATGCTATGGGACAGGTACTGCATTTAAATTTGTGGGAAAGAACTGGCTGATTAGCCACACATACACGCGTGCACTTATTTTCTGTTAAGTGGAATAGCTATAGGTATTTGTGGTTTAGAGCAAAGATGCTTAAATCCTTCTCGTCATTATGTTACCATCAATAATATTCTTCTCAAACTGTATTTATTTCTCTTGTACAAATCTCTAACAGCAAGATGCCACAATTCAAATGGCATATTTTAAAATATAATTCCACAAATAAGCCCAACATGAGTTTCTTACAAAAAGTTTTTTTCAGGACTGACACACCAAATCCACTGACCGGAAGTCTTTTCTCAAGTACAACTCATAGTCACTTTGATTCTTCAGAAAGGGGTTACTCAATTTGTGGGTTTTTCAGGTGTTTGACTTCTCTTTCTTCTTACAGCTTTTCTTGCCTTTCAGATTCATTAATAGCATGCAACAGCCCTTAAAAGGCACCACAAACCAAACAAATTCTGTTTCAAACACATCTTGTTGAAAATGCTAAATATGTCACATGTGAGATGTGAAACCTTCAACAAATAATTCCATGGACCTGTATTTGTAAAAGTGGAAAATATGCCATGTGCGGTGGCTCACACCTGTAATCCCAACACTTTGGGAGGCTGAGGCAGGCGGATCACGAGGTCAGGAGTTCGAAACCATCCTGGCTAACATGGTGAAACCCTGTCTCTACTAAAAATACAAAAAAAAAAATAGCCAGGCGTGGTGGCACATGCCTGTAGTCCCATCTATTTGGGAAGCTGAGGCAGGAGAATTGCTTGAACCCAGGAGGCGGAGGTTGTAGTGAGCCGAGATTATGCCATTGCACTGCACCCTGGTGTCTCAAAAAAAAAAAAAAAAAAAAAGTGGAAAATATACTGCATCAGGATCAGCAAGATAAAATGCTGACTGTTTTTTATGTACTGTGTGCCTGTAACCACTCCAAGTATCCTACATTAACTCATTTAGCCTTCAAAACAACTAATATTATCTCCTTTTCCAAGATAAGAACAATAAGGCTCTGAGAGAGGTTAATAATATTCACTGCCATGGGTCACAGAGTTGTAGGTTTCAGATACAAGCTTCAAAGTTAGGAAGTAGGAAAGATTAGCTTAAAAACATTATCTCTTAGCACTTAATCAGTTTCATTGCTGAATTAGTTATGATATAACAATGTAAGTTTTATAATTTAATAATGTTATCTTATTAGCTATATTTTGCTGACTTTCCTTTAAATATTGGGCCATAGTCCTAGAAAAATAACTAGAAGCAAAGTGTGAACTTATTTACCTTTATCTTCAAATTTATAGAAAACCAATATTGATGTTATCAGGCAAAATTTGTTAGGTATTCTAATATATAGCACATAGGTAGCTATATAGTTCTTAAATTGAGAAACACATTAAATGCTGAAGGGTATATGATTTATCTATATCTCGAAGACTAACATAAATATTCTAAGATTTTACTGTCTTTCATTACCGATATATTTTAAGATTCAAAACAATATTTTTAATTTGTGCCTTTTAATTCATGCATAATTCCACAGATACAGATATTTATAGCTAAACTTCCATTATAAAATATAGCATTAGCCTTTAGAAAAAATTAAAGATACTGTAACTTACATTAGAGCATTCATAAATGGCATAAAACAGAGAAAATGAAGTATTTAATTTTCAGGAATATGGTAGACCTGCTGTTTTTATATTTATGCTACTTAACATGTTCTTCATCATTCACTTACAAACCCAGAAAAATAAATTATATTTTAAACACAAGTGAAGTTGATATTTAAAGAATTTATGTCTGAAATTTGTTAATAACAAATAATCATTTCATAATGGAAAGGTCATCACTGTTCATAAAAATACACTGTTCATAAAAAGACAAACAACAAGAAAATAGGCCTCAGACCATTTTAAAGAAGGCCAATCTAAAGCCAATCACTGACTAGAAAAATCAAATATACAAGTTGTTCAAACTGTATTCATAATAAGCATAAATAGGTTCTGAGTGGGCCTCTGGAGGGTCTTTTTTTAAATCATTTTTTTTAAGTGAAAGAATTGGTATGAATGTTTTACATCCATTTTCACAATTCTCAGCTTCACTTTTTCCTACTTCCTGACTGAGGTAGTGAGAAATAAGATGTTGCTGTACTATAGCAGAAATAGAAAATAATCTGCTTTGATAATACTATCACACATATCTGTGATATGCACTGCAGTCAAATCATGTTTATAAAGAATCCTATGTTTACCTACAATATAATAAACTTCATTCAAAAGTCTGCACTTTGAAAAAAGTAAATAAACAAATAAAGCCAATAGCTGTTAGATAAGAACAATATCCAGGAAAAATACTGTACATTTCACTGGTTGTCTAATAACACCAGGTGCCATTCATAATTAATATAAATCACATTGAATCTCTGGTAAGATGGACAAAATCAATTTAACGTGACTATTCTTTCCATCAAATCTCTTTTAAATGATCAATGTCTATAAAACAAAGAAAAAATATCTCAAGACAAACAGGATATGTTCTATCTTAAAATAGTGGAAAGGTAGTACGTATATCCCATCTATCAGGAATTTCTTCAACTATAGTCAAAGTTGAAAATTTGATGAGATATTTCCAGCATCCAATTCAGAAAAATATTAACAGCACAGGAAGTTATATAAATAAGTCATTAAAATAAATTCATTGACATGGTTTATGAAAACATAGTACACAGACATTGTTTTATAACTATGCAGCAAGAGAAACTAAAGATAGCAGTATTTGCATCATGACTCACAATTCCGTTATATAAAAGAGCAGAATGGAATAGATTAAAATATATAAATATTTAAGTGGAATATCTATAACCCAAGTAACTGCATGTTTTTACATGATGGAAGACAGTAAAATAAATTCTTAAGAATTTCATCCTTGTAAAATATAAAGTCTTAACAGATAACTTGTCACTTCTAAGAAATCTATAGATAAAACAAAACAAAATATATAGTTAGGACATATGAAAAAGACAGAATATAACACAAGATGACAAAATAAGCCAAACAAAATGCTAGAAGGAAAAACATGAATGTGCTAAATTATTTCTATTACAAGGATGAAGATTGATATTATGACAAATTGCATGTCATAGAAAAGCCTTTCCAACCTTTCAAACCATAAAGACACTTGTGTATTGGCTTATATTTTCAGACCATTCACAATTTAACAAACTTTAATGTTGATTGATTCGCTGGCTCAATTTTATTTTTCTTCTTACTTTGTGCCATTCTCAGTACTTGTAGCAGCAAGACGCCTGCCAAGAATTCCAACATCTATGTGCTTCTTTAATTTCAAACAGTAAAAATTACTTTTAAAAGTATTCACAAAAGAAGAATGATTAGTTTCCTCTCCAGAATTCATTTAAAGCTCTGTGTTGACCACAACACTCTAACTGCAACCAAGTTGTTTGCAATCAGAAACTATTCCTTTCTGTTCTAATCTAATACTTCCCATGACTGGGTATATGTGCTTATTTTAGCAGCAATCATCTTGTATTTCCTACAGTGCTGTGAATACTCACAACATCCTTTTAATCTCTGCTAAAATGTTGCTAAACCAACAAGTTTGCTTGTTGCTGCATCTCTTCTCCCTAAAACATTCTTATCCCATTCAAGTTATGGGTCCATGTTCACTGCAAAGACATAGACTATACTCAACCACTATTCCCAAAGACCAACAGGTCTATTTCTCAGCTACTGCTTTTCTGTATTTTGGCTTATCGAGACACTTTTCTCTCTACCATTCCTCAGCCAACTACTCAGCCAACATTTTGTCAGTTCAACTTTAGTACTTGTGAATATTAATTGTGGACATGTTTTTTTCTCTCCTCCTTCTCTTCCTCTATTTTGCTCTTTCTTCTTTATCTAAATTCTCTCCCTACTTTTTCCTCTTCTCCTCTTTCATCCTCCTCTTTTGAGAAGGCTTCAATTTTTATTATTCTTAATACTATTTGTATCAAGGTCACCCATGATGTAAAAGTTACTAATTCCCAATCCCATTATAGGCAATATATCATTAGGATTTAACAGTGTTAATCATGCCCTTCTTCCCAAGATACATTATTTTTTGGCTTCCAGGACACTGGATTCTTTTTGTTGTCATCCTATCTCAATGGTTTTTCCTTTTAGGTCTTCTTGTTACCTTCCAGACTCTTAAAGTCTGGAGTGTACAGGGCTTAAACTTAGATTTTTAAAAAATCAGTCATTCTCTTGAAGAGCTCATCTAATTTCATGGTTTTAAGTACGGTCTACCCTATAGTTTCAAACCTAAAATTTTACTACCTGTAAGATATACCATTATTTTAAGCACCTATCAAAGAAAAAACTGCTGTCAGTTAGTTTATGGCATGCCACATGTTATAGGATGTATTCTAATTTCAGAGATTTTTAACCTGTGAAAATGTGTATTTTGGATTTGATGAAATATAATATGTACTTATGACCACAAATTTATACCTCCAGAATGCACTAACATTCTGTCCTCTAGTTATTGTATCTGATTACCTATTCAGTATCTCCTCTTGGCTATCTGACAGTTAAATTTAATTATGATGTCCAAATTATACTCTTCATATTCTTTCCTCTGTTTCCCATTCTCATGGTTTCTTTATCCCAATAACTGAAAAATGCATTCTTTGAATTTCCCCATTCCCAAATGATGGAATCTTTCTTAATTACTCTCTTCTCAACCAGACCCTTACCTACTTTGCCAGAAAACCTGTAAGACCAATATCCCTTATGAATGTTTGTATTAGTCCATTATCACACTGCTATGAAGACTTCCCTGAGACTGAGTAATTCATAAAGAAAAGAGGTTTAACTGACTTATAGTTCTGCATGGCTTAGGAGGCCTCAGGAAAGTTACAATTATGGTGGAAAGGGAAGCAGGCAACTTCTTCACAAGTCAGTAGGAGAGAAAAGGGCAGGGGAAACTGCTACTTATAAAACCATCAGAGCTCATGGTAACTCACTCTATCATGAGAACAGTATGGGTGAATCACCTTCATGATCCAATCACCTCCCACCAGGACCCTTCCTTGATACACAGGGATTACAATTTGAGATGAGATTTGGGTGGGGACACATAGCCAAACCATATCAATATTGATGAAAAGTAATCAATAAAATAGTAACAAAGAGCATTTAACAGCACATTAAAAGGATTATATGCCATGACCAGATGGAATTTATTTCTGGAATGCAAGGATGGTTTGACACAGGAAGATGCAGGAAAAAAGCATTTGATAAAATTTAACACCCTTTAATAATAATCACACTCAAGAAAATACAAATAGAAAGGCATCTCTTTGATATGATAAAGACCTTATGTGACCCTTTGCAGCTAATATCATACTAATTGAGAAAGGCTGAAAGTTTTTTTTCTCTAAGATCATGAAATAGAACAGAATTGTGCTGGCACCATGGTTTAGCTGGTTAAAGCGCCCGTCTAGAAAAATAACAGAATGCCTACTTTACCACTTCCATTCAAAAGAGTATTGAATGTTCTACCCAGAGCAATTAGTCAAGAAAAAGAAATGAAAAACATCAAAATTGGGAAAAAAGAAGTAAATTTATCCCTGTTAACAGATGACATGATGTTATTTGTAGAAAACCCTAGAGCTTTTTTAACTTAAAAAAGTTAGTCCTAATAAGTGAATTCAGCAACATTTCAGGATACAAAAGCATCACACAAAAATCAGTTATAGTCTATATGTTAACAATGAACAATCCAAAAAGAAAATTAAGAAGGTAATTTCACTTAAGAAGGCATCAAAAAGAATAAAATAGTTACAAATTTAATCAGAAGGCAAATACTTATACACTGTAAACAACAAAACATTGTGGAAATAAATTAAAGAAGACACAAATAAATGACAAGACATCATGTGTTTATGGATTGGAAGACTTAATATTGATAAGATGTCAATATCACACAAAGTAATTAACAGATTCAGTGCAATCCCTAACAAAATCCCAGGAGTGTTTTTTTGCAGAAAGAAAAACCCATCCCAAAATTCATATGGAATTCCAAGGGACCCTGAACAGCTAAAACAATCTTTAAAAAAAGAAACAAAGTCAGAACTCTCACAGTTCATGAATTCAAAAGTTATTATAAATTGACAGTAATCAAAATGGTGCGGTACCAGCATACAGACAGACATATAGAACAATAAAATAGAATAGAGAGCTCAGAAGTAAACCCTCCCATACATTGCTAATTGATTTTCACCAAGAGTGCCAAGACAATTCAATGGGAAAAGACAATCTTTTCAACAAATGATGCTGGGAAAGCTGGATATTGATATTCAAAATAATCAAATTGGACCCTTACATGATACTATACATAAAATTAATAAAAATTAACTCAAAATGCATCAAAAGACCTAAATGTAAGAGCTAAAATTATAAAATCTCTTGGAAAAAACCACAGAGAGAAATCCACATGACATGATTTGGCAACAATTTCTTGCATATGACCCTAAAAGCATAGGCAGCATAACAAATATCAATAAACTGGACTTCCTCAATATTAAAAACTTGGGGGCATCAAAATTCACTATCAAGAAAATAAACAGAAAATCCATGAAATGGGAGAAAATATTTATAATTTATGTATTTGATAAGGAATTAGTATCTAGAATACAAAAAGAACTCCTAAAACTCAACAATAAAAAACAAATAACCCAATTTTTTTTAAATGGGGGAGGACTTGAGTAGACCTTTCTTCAAAAAATAAACAAATGACCAATAAGCACATAAACAAAATCATCAACATCACTAGTCATTGGGGAAATGTAAATCAAAACCACAAGGAAATACCACCTCATACTAATTAGGATGACTATTATTAAAAAAAAGGAAAGTAAATGTTAGCAAGGATGAGAAACTGGAACACTTATGCATTGCTAGTGTTAATGAAAAATGATAAAGCTTCTGTGGAAAACAGCTTGGCAGTTTTTCCAGGAGTTAAACATATAATTATCATATGATCCACTAATTCCACTTTTGGTTATATGTCATAAATAATTGAAAGCAGGGACTCAAACACATTCTTATATACCAAGATTCAGAACAGCATTATGCACAATAGTCAAAAGGTAGAAAAAACCTAAATATGCAACAACAGATAGAAGGATAAATAAAATGTATCATATATACTAGTATTCAGGCATAAAAAATGAAGATTCTGATACATGCTACAACATGAATGAAACTTGAATATATTATTCTAACTAAAATAAGCCAGATGCAAAGGCCAAATATTGTATGATTCTACTTATATAAGGTAGACTATAAGGTAAAAGGGAAAATTCATAGGCAGGAAGTAGTATATAAGTTACTGGGGACTAGGGTTTATGTGAGAGTTATTCTTTAATGGGTACAGAACTTCTGTTTAATAATTTAAAAATTGTGAAAATAGATAGTAGTGATGGTAGCACACCATTGGGAATGTACTTAATGTCAATAAATTGTACACTTATAACAAAATGGTAAATTTTGTTATATATATATATAACCATAATAAAGAAATCTCCAAAAAAGCCACCCTATAAATTACAATATTAAAATAGATGCAAAAAATTCTACTTCTCCCTGACTCATCTTTTACCACCTTAATTCAACCTATTATCATTTTTTACCCAGATTTTTGCCAATGCCTTTAATTGATCTTCTTATTTCTGTCCTTGGCCACTTCATTTTATTCTCAACATGTTATCTAGAGCCAGCCTTTAAAAATTAAGTCAGACCATGTTACTCTTCCACTCAAGATCCTCCAGTGGCACTAAATTACACATAGAGTAAGTCCCAAAGTCATTTAAATATCTTTTAAGGATTTATACAATCTGATTTCCATATTACCTTTTTAGTCTAAAGTGTCATCAGGGTCATGCCAAAATAAGAATAATGGTGGTAATCTGACTTGGGGAGAGAAATATTTTATCACTGGCAATGTATGTAATTGCCAGATGCCTGGTGAGAATCAAAATAACTATTTTTAGTTGGCTTTATTATAGCTTATACATTTTCTACAAAAAACACACCTCTTTCTGCCTTCATACAGGATTGGACATCTACTATAACCTTCTTAGCATGCCACTGACTCTTATCAGCCTTGCCGTCTTCACACCACTCTGTCTAATTTGAAATTCCTAACCTATTGCACTTTGCAGTGCAGGGCCTTTTCACTTGCTGTTCCCTCAGGCTGGAACATCAGGTATCTGCCTGAGTGCCTGGCTCATTCACTTAAGACTAGTCATTAACTCATAAATCAGTTTCCCTATGTAGCCTTCCTTGACTACTCCATGGAAAAGTACAATTACACTGTCAATACCCTCTCCCACATTCTTTTCACCTTCATTTACGTATTGTGTTTATTTCTTGTCTCTTCCATGGGAATAAAACATTCCTGATGGCAGGATTTTTCCACCTGGTGTTTCAGTGTTGTAAATCCAACAAAGAGAGCATTGCCTGGCTTATACTAGACTTTTAATAAGTTCTTGTTTAAAGAATAAATACATGAATGAATATATGAATAAATGAAACAAGTCAATAATGCTTAACTATACTTTCCATAGGTACAGATCCTACTATCTGCCTAGCCAGAATACATATGAAAATGTTTAGCATCATTAATAATTCAAGCAAGGCAAAGTTAAAAGATATACCTAAATTTTATTGATTATCATATTGGAAAACATATATTACAGAAAATGGGTCAGAAGAAGAAAGCAAAATAGGTCTCCTTATATTATTTGTGATAATCATAAATGATATAATTTATAAGTTGAATACATGTAAAAACAGCTTTAAGATGGCCAGAATTCTGACTCAATACTACTTTTAAAATTTAAATAGCCATGAATTTAATATATCCATATAAATGTGTATGTGTGTGGGTATACACACATTCCTGTATGTGCCTATGGGCCATGAAGCCATCTCCTTTCCAAGAGATTCTTCAGAAATACTCTATTCATCTTTTAGTATGTTTCTTTTCATTTATTATGGAGGCCACCATTAGTTCCTATAAAAAATAGACACTGTTTGCAAGAGTAATTCTATTTCTTACAAAGGACTCTATGGCTAACTAAATTAGACTACTGAGAAACAAACTATTTGCTTCAGGTGAAAAAAAAGAAACCTATGAAGGATGATATCAAGGGGAAGTTAGACATTTAGAATATTGCAGTATAATATTTGGCTTATGCAATATTCTAGCCATTTACCAAGACCTGACTTAGACATGCCTTCCAGTCTTTTAAACTGTTTGAGAGCTGCCTATCATGTTGGCATATTTCCTCACATTATAACTATACAAATTTTGAGTCACTTGGTGCTTTTTAAGAGCACTGCTTCTGTTTATTTGGGAAATTATTGAAAATTGTGAAGCAAGGAGTAAACATCCTAAGTAGTTTATTTATAGACTTAAATAAAATATGTGAAAGAGCTTTGGGAATAGAAAGCTATTGTGAAAATGAAAAACTGTCATTCTAGAAATAAGGGCAAAAAATCAGTATTAATCAGAAAACTATTAAGCAAAATAGGTATTGATATGTATTAATTCCAGTGAAATATCACCTTCCAATTAAATGCATTCTGCTTAATAGTCATTTGACAACAGTAGAGGCCCTTCATCTATGAAATCATCTTCACTTACTAAATCAGAGCCTATAATGTAGAAAGAGAGCTATTCTATGAATTCTCACAAAAGCACTCAGACTCATGTCTATAATGGTCACTAGATAGTAACATTAATTTCATAATCATAAAAAGTAGCCCTATACCATCACAGAAGCCAAGAAATGGGATCAACCGTTTTGGTCTTCAATTAATTCTTAGATGGTCTTTTTGTGGCTGTTTTTTAAATTATCATATTGACTGCTGTTACATAGGACTTAATTTTTCCAACATTTCCATTTAGAAGCAAATGTTGGATCCAAGTTAAATGAGTGAATTGAATGAATGAATGAATTACTAACAATAGAATAACACTTTTTACAAAAACCTTTTCTCTTGTCCTATAGAATATACTATCTACCAGTACATCTAATAGAGAAGAATCATAATCCTTTTTCTATTGAGAAAATAGTTGTATGAATGCATCTCAAAAATATCTCCCAGATTTTAAAGGTCTTTTATAATATCATTGTTATTATGGTTATTTTATTTCATAGCCAATCTCTGTCTCTTCAATAATGGCAATAATGATGCCACGATTTACATAACACATAAACTTTTTTTTTTTGAGATGGAGTCTTGCTCTGTTGCCCAGGCTGGAGTGCAGTGACATGAAGCGATTCTCCTGCCTCAGCCTCCCATGTAGCTGGGATTATAGGCGTGAACCAACATGCCCAGCTAATTTTTGTATTTTTAATAGAGATGAGGTTTTGTCATGTTGTCCAGGCTGGTCTTGAACTCCTGACCTCAAGCGATCTGCCCACCTTGGCCTCCCAAACTGCTGAGATTACAGAACACATAAATTTTTTAATTGTTCCAAGTTATTTCTAGTCAAAAACATCATCTTAGTAAAAAGCCCTGGTGTTGCCTCTCAAATTCCCATTAAACTATTTAAAAATAAGAAATTAAAATGGATAACTCAAAAAAGAAGCCTGAAAAACCTATGTAATGCCTGAATATGAGTGCTATTTTCAGTGACTCTAAGACAACAATACTGAAGTCAGAATTATTCTCAGTGATTAACACAAGTTGTACCACCTTCAAAAAACAAGTTTGGTAGAGTGAAAGAACAAAGGGGGCTGCTTCATCTTTCTGCCTCTTCCTGATATCTGGTTCAGGCACTCAGAGTCTGTATCAAGGAGATAACTGGGCAGTCAGCCATTGAATTCACAAGTATTGATTCTTTTGGAGACTGGAGCATTGTCCCTCTATCTTAACAAGTTCCTCTCTTCCCACATTATTTTGCTTCCTGAGATACTTAGAAAACAACTGGGTAGGAGGTGAATGAAAGAACCCAAGGGAGCAAAATGAACCCTAAGTGGTGAATATACAGTGATGTGTAGTTCTAACAAGTATATCATTTAGGAAGCATTGAAATTACGAACAATATTGTAACCTTGAATGCAGATTAAAAATTTTTAACTGTCAAACACACTACCTATAAAGAATATTTATTAGTTTTCCTTATTATCTTTAAATGGTATAGACTTTCCAGTAAGACATAATTCAAGGTGCTGGTTCTCAACAGATAAAAACTTTTACAAACTCTTAGAAACTCTAGAACTTTTACAAAACTTAAAAAAAAACTTTTAACTTTTACATTCTCTGTCAGCAGTACAAAGTGTTGATATCACATATTTACTGCTTCCAAATACTTGATATATACAAAAATTATTTCTACCTTGAAAATAATGATATGCCTCACATCCCAGCATAGCGCTTAAAACTTAGCTGGTAGGGGGATAAACATGAGCATTTAACATTGGCAACAAATTTCCCTCATGAAGTGAAGATAAAAAAGGTTAATATTTGGATGAGTCGTCAGGAAGCCAAGGACAAACAACAAGATTAAATAAGTTGTTGAGTTTCCTCATGGAAGGATAAAGAATAGCTGAAAAGGAGAGAGAAGAAAAGCAACAGAGAATCCAGAAAATTTTAGGCCAAAGAAGTCAAAGTTGCTATTAAAAGCCCTCAGCGACCAAAAGCTCTTCATGAAACAGGTTTGCTAATATTTAATTTGAAACTGTTTCTGTTGCTATGATACCATTCTTACCTTTTCATCTTCTTCAGTAACATTTAATAAACCAATTTCTTGGGTTGAAAGGTGTGTGTGTGTGTGTGTGTGTGTGTGTGTGTGTGCGCGCGCGCGCGCGCGCATGCATGGTGTTGTTTTGTTTCACATTATTTTTTCTCAAAAGCAAGAAGTGGGCTTATTTTCAAGTCCAGACTGACATAATTCAGGGCAAAAATTGCATATATAAGATGCCAAAAAGGCCCACTAAACAAGGAAGTAAATGTTTCAACCATGAGAATATGAATCATTTTTATAATTCTTTAGGTCACTTAAAGATGCTTGGGTACAATTCTGGAATTCCAGAGCAAAAATTTCTATTAGGTCAATACAATCTGTATCTCAAGTGGAAAGAAGGTTCTTGGACCTAGGTAACACATGAGTTGCAATGAATCAACTGATAAATATTTACAGCATTGAATAGACCAGTGAAATCATAGAGATCAAGTCTCTCATTTTACACATAGGAAAAAGAAGCAAAAAGAGATGAAAATGACATGACTAAATACATCAGCAACAAGGTGGCAACACCTGTGCTTTGTAGCATTTGACAACAACAGAGCTCTTTGTAATATTCTGTGATTCAAATCCCTCTGGTTTAATAAGGTTACATACTCTGAATCTGCTTTAGATAAGAAATGTTTTTGAGATTTCCTTTCTGAATGCATTTGAATGTATAAATGGATACAAAAGTTAGAGGTCATATTTCAAAAATCAGGGCTTAGAGTCCAGTGTTTTCTCTACGTCTCTATCTCGAGTTATGTAGTACATGCTTGATTAGCATATTAGCTTGGATAGAGATGTTCTTCCCTGGAACTCTCAGTATTAATGGATTTTTTTTTACTTATATTGATAAATAAAATATATAAAACCAAAATAACTTTTCTAATCTACTGCTTCCTAAGGTTTCACTTAACGCTGTCCTTAGGCAAGAGAGTTATTAGTAGCTAGAAAAAGGGAACTGCAGTGCAGGCTCTATTATTGGAAATGGCTGAAATACAGACAGGACTATGTTTGATTCTTTCAGAATTACTCATTTATATTGTCTGCTTCCGTTCTTTTTCCAAGCAGTAGAATCAGGGATAAGAATAGCAGTAATAGCGTTTTCCATGAATAAAAATGTACCAGGTTTCTATAAATAATGCATGTCAAATTAACTAGCCGCAACATCCTTGACTTGCACAATTCTTTCTGGTTATGAGTTCCACAGATACAAAATGTGTGTACCAAATAAAAACACCAAAATGCATTGCCATTAGGAGCCTTCATTGTCTCCTAATTGATTGCTACTGAGTTTACACTAAGGAATTGCTCAGTTATGCAGTTTACAGTGTATTTTTGTTTTTTTTTTAAATCTTCATTAATATTACAAAATGTTAAGAGTTATTCCCTGGAAATGAAAAATATGCTACCAGTTTCTGAAATTATTATATAATCCATTTGAGCAGTTTTTGATATGCTGAAAAAGTAAAATATAATTTTAAGAGTAGTGAGTATAGGCCGGGCGCGCTGGCTCACGCCTGTAATCCCAGCACTTTGCGAGGCTGAGGCGGGCGGATCACAAGGTCAGGAGATCGAGACCATCCTGGCTAACACGGTGAAACCCCGTCTCTACTAAAAATACGAAAAATTAGCCGGGCGTGGTGGTGGGCGCCTGTAGTCCCAGCTACTCCTCCGGACGCTGAGGCAGGAGAATGGCGTGAACCCTGGAGGCGGAGCTTGCAGTGAGCCGAGATCCCTCCATTGCACTCCAGCCTGGGCGACAGAGCGAGACCCCGTCTCAAAAAAAAAAAAAAAAACAAGAGTAGTGGGTATAACTGTGTCTGCATCTCAAACTTAAAATACCAAATTCAGGTATTAAGAGATGTTAAATATTTTGGATATGTTTACTAGAAACTAAATTCTCAGAGATAAGAACCACATTACTTCATTATCTCCTCTTAATTTTTCTTTCCTAATGACGCCAACCTTTTTCTTTATACTTCCTGTTTTAAGATTGTACATTTTTTGTAATTCTGACTAATCCGAGTTTCACATTTCTTCTGTAAAGAAGTAATTAAACTCTTAGAATACTTAAGTTTTTAAAAAGCATATTCATGAGTAATAACTAATTTGATCATTATTATATATGATATATATCATAATCATATCATATATATGATATATATCATAATATATATCATATATAATTATGATATATATGATGTATAATGATATATAGATATACAATGATATATGATATATATTATATATATTTTATATATATGACATTGTATTTCAAAGAAGAGGAGATAGAGTTCTGAACTTGTCAGTGAAGACTTCATGGCCACGGAGTCTTCCGTTCTTGCTTTTCTATTCAAAGACAGCGATTCCTCTGACAATGTCATCAAATCCCAACCAGTTTGTTTAGCTTCCCCGTTTTCCTCAGAGAAAACACGAGGATAAGAAACATTCTTCAGATTTTCTTTCTGAATGAATTTGTATGTGTAAATTGGCTTGAAATATATATTGAAACTTATTTATGTTTTTATTTTTATTTATTTATTTATTTGACAGAGTTTCGTTCTTGTTGCCCAGGCTGGAGTGTAATGGTGCAATCTTGGGTCACTGCAACGTCCGCCTCCTGGGTTCAAGTGATTCCCTCCTGCATCAGCCACCTGAGTAGTTGGGACTACAGGCGCCCATCACCACGCCCAGCTAAATTTTTTGTGTTTTTTGTAGAGACGGGGTTTCACCATATTGGCCAGGCTGGTCTGGAACTCCTGACCTTAGGTGATCTGCCTGCCTCAGCCTCCCAAAGTGCTGGGATTACAGGCGTGAACCACTGACCTGGCCAAAATTCCAAACTTGAACAAACTGACAGCACACAAACACACCTACACTTAACCTTTAGGTTCAGGAAAAGACTGTCTGGTCCTAGTTTGTAGTATTCCACCAAGCCAGCTTTGGATGAGCTGCAGCTTACTCTTTGGGGCCACGACATTCCCATATTTAGAACCCTATAGTGACTCTCAATTTTGTACACAATTATGCCTTTAGTAAGGGATTAAAGGGGTTATAAAAATATGAGATTAAGCTCTTTAGTAAGATATGCTAGGTCCAGTTTGACCTGCTTTCTTCTATCTGTTCATTTTCTGTATTTTATATCTACCTACTTTAATTTCTAGGCTCCAGAACACTAAATTCTTCTAAGCTGACAACATGCTTTCAGTGTCTTTCCAGATTTTTCCCTTTCTACTTGGAATGCCTTTCTATTGCCTTTTGAGTTGGACCATTCTTACATATTCTTTATGATGCAGTTCAGAAGTCACACCCCTTAAGAAATTTTCCCTGACTGCCAGGTGAATGCAAACATAAGAGGCAAACCCACATTGAGATGGCTGTTCCTCTTCTGGGTCTCCACAATACCCTGTTGCTGAATCTTCGCAGTGCTTTCTAATTATCCATTTACTCTCTCCTGCTTGCTGGGCAACTTAAGAGGACTATGATTACTGCAGTCACATAGGGCCTCACTCTCAGAAGGGCTCTACACTGGGGTTTCAATGATTTGTAGTCATTGTCTTGAATTTGTGCTTTCTAAATAAAGCCTGGCAGGACAATGTAAGGGGTGTGTGTGTGTGTGTGTCTGTGTGTGTCTGTGTGTGTGTGAGAGAGAGAGAGAGAGATGGGGAGAGGTTTTAAAACCTTTCCTTACAGGCAGTCTCCCTCCAAATGCCTCTCACTTCCCCTGAGTAGATCCTCAATTCCTCTTACTGCCTGGGGCCCTGGGCCCCACTTCACTTCCCCTTTGTCATCTGCACCCACTGCAACCAGACTCCAGGTGGGGGCTGGCCATTGGTGCAAGGAAGGTCAGAGTCAGGTAAGTGGTCCATGGCATCTCAGTGCAGAGCGTGGTGGCTGTCTCCATCCAGGGCTGGCACATCACTGTGCATTCAGTAATTCACTGTGAATCAGTGATTCACTGTGAATTCAGACTTTTGGGCCTCTCACCCATCTGGGGTCCAGGAATCCAAGGGAAACTGACTAGAGTTTGAAATCTCTTGGGTGTAGTCTATTCTTTAGGGATTCAATCAGTGAGCTGGTACGAAGGTGGTATGTATAACTATCCCCAAGACAGTGCCACATTGAGTAGCAAATAAAAAAATTTATCATCACAGGTCAAAAAGAGACTGCAGAAGGACAAAACAGTTTTGTGCTGTATTACCTTGAATGACCGGTTTTTTTTTTCTTGTTCTGTCAACAACTTCCCTCATTCTTGTTTTGCCCTGTGCCCGGCATATTATACAGTCCATCTCTGACTACTTGGGACTATAAGCGTCATAAGTTTGGGACTGTCCTATCCATCTCTATAACTGCAACACATGGAATTGTACCTATTACATATTCAGAACTTAATATGTATCTGTTAAATGAGTGAATAATAAATTAATAATTATTGCATAAAAAAATTCATCACCTTACATATGTAGGTACATTTGAATGGTAATCTCTGTGACTAAAGAATATTTGCAGAAAACATTTGACTTGTTCATCATGATATATAATAAATATTATGTAAATCTGTGTACAACTGAAATAACCTTTCCCCAAACTAATAAAATTGACTTGATTTCCTGCTTCTTTTCAAAGGATAGCGTTTAAATGTTTTTGCAAAACAGTTTCGTTTTCTGCCATATTTTAGAAAAAAACAATGCAAAGCTGTGTCTTCTTTTTGTTCTGATAGTGTGATTAAAGAAGTGACTTTCATTTATCAGTGAAGCGTTTTGGAATTGCCCTAACCAGCAGTATACTAACAATTTGGAAGAAAGATGCATTCAGCAAAGAAGTACATATCTATATATTTATCTATAAATGAATATTAGTGATTAAATAAAGCACAAAAATGAAGTACTCTATGTACTATAATACCTAAACCATTTGGCAATTTACCATGCTTATGATATGTTTGCCATTATGCATGTTTATTTCAGACCCAAAGGACAATCTTGAGGGTAGAATGCTTTTGTTAATGAACATAGGTGCTATGATGTGACTAGACAAATTAGGTGAATCTTAATTAGCATTTATTCCATTTTCTACTACTGATTGCTGACTATAAAATATTGAGGGATAAGGCCGGGTGCAGTGGCTCACACCTGTAATCCCAGCACTTTGGGAGGCCGAGGTGGGCGGATCACAAGGTCAGGAGATCAAGACCATCCTGGCTAACACGGTGAAACCCCATCTCTACTAAAAATACAAAAAAAATTAGCCGGGCGTGGTGGCGGGAGCCTGTAGTCCCAGCTACTCGGGAGTCTGAGGCAGGAGAATGCTGTGAACCCGGAAGGCAGAGCTTGCAATGAACCGAGATCGAGCCAGTGCACTCCAGCCTGGGTGACAGAGTGAGACTCCATCTCAAAAAAAAAAAAAAAAATATATATATATATATATATATATACACACACACACATACAGGGATATTATAGTATTATAGTCTGGTCTTATGAGGAAAAGTTCAAGAACATTATTACGGAAACGGATATTTAGGTTAAATGCTTTAAACATAAAGAGACCCCTGCTAAAGATTGTTATCTTTATTTGGTAAGTCACCCATTTAAAAAATTATATACCAGAAATTGAATGAGATACATGAGATAGTGCAGTAAGCAAAGCAGATAGAGCCTCTGCCCTCATAGATCCTGTGACCCAATAGAGATGAAAGACATCAACCAGTTGATTATAAGTATTTTTAGTAAACAGCTACATGGGTAACATAATATCTATCCTGGTATTAAGAGCAGTACCAGGGAACAGTTTACTGAAGAAATTATGTTTAAATTGAGACCCAAAAGATAAGAAGGTATTAGAAAGGCTGAAAGATAAGATGTAGCAGATTTTCCAACTTTGCTATTTTGCTAACATATAACAAATCTATTTCTACAATTATTTACATATTTTGATAAAGGAATTAGCTAAATTTTTTAAAACAGCACCACTAATTTGGAATGTGTGATAGCTTCAAGAAATTACCCAATCACATTTGTATTCTGTAAAGAGAGATTTGCTAAGCAAATTAGTAAAGGAGAAATATAACTTGTTATGAGACTTCACACTATTTAGAAAACTAGTTTAAAAAATGAAATGATTCAGTAACAAAAAAGTAACATTTCAGTATTTAAGAATGGCCTCCCTAAAATGTGCTCCAAACTAGGGAGATATTACATTAAATTTCCAAGGATGATTTGCATTTTCCGATCAGCCAAAAATTCTTCCAAAGTATAAACCAGCTGTCCTGTGTTAGAAAAATAATTTAATCTCTTTGAACCTGTCTCATTATCTATACTACGGGGAAAATACTGCCTCAGGACACATGTGAGAATAAAATAACTCTAAACAGAATGCTTAAGGTCCTAGAACATTCTAAATTATATAGTGGATAATAAATACATTTTATTTTATTTCTTTATACAATTATTTATTCCTTTGCTTTTTCACCAAATGTATATAGAGCGTCTAGTGTTTGAATAGCATAGAACAGGGTAGAGAAAATATTTTAGAGCCAACCATACCTAGTTTTAAATAGATTGTATCTTTGGTGGCTGTGTTCCTGTGCATAAATAAATCCATACATTCTCTGATCATTAGTTTCCAAATGTATAAAATATAAATAATAACTGTATTTCAGAAACATTATAAGAAGTGGCATTTTATATATAATGTTCAGCAAGTGAAAAATAATACTCAGGAAATGCTAGTTTTTCTCATCCCTCTATTATCACTTATTACACAATGCAATAGGTGCAATGGTGGAAAAAGATGAATCATTCATTGTCTTCTCCTCCTCATATATTTTCTCAGATATTGTTCTATGGGGAAATAATGTACAAAAATAATTTGAATGTATGTGTGCATTCTCTGCTAAGGAAAACATAAGAAAAATAGACATAAAGCCTTGTAAGTATTCAAAAGAATAAATAACTAAAACTAGGATAACAGAACTAGCACTGTTTTCCAGAAATATATATGTTCCAGAAAAACACACACACAACACATACACACACACACACACACACACATTGTGTGTGTATATACAGATTTTTTTTTCTGGAACATACACATTGTGTGTGTGTATATATATATATATATATATATATATATACAATGTGAATGTGTGTATATATATATGTGTATATATAGATACCCATGTACAATGTGTATATTGTATGTGTATATATACACACACACACAATGTGTATTTGCATTTATACACACACATACAATGTGCATTTGCATATATATACACATAAAATGTGTGTGTATATATGTATATACACATTGTAAGTGTATTGTGTGTATATATATACACATACAATGTGTATATGCACACATGTATATACATATGTGTATATGCACATATATACATATGTGTATATGCACGTATATACATATGTGTATATACATGCATATATATGTGTGCGTATACATGTATACACATATGTATATGCACGTGTGCGTATACATGTATACACATATGTATATGCACGTGTGCGTATACATGTATACACATATGTATATGCACGTGTGCGTATACATGTATACACATACGTATATGCACGTGTGCGTATACATGTATGTATACACATATGTATATGCATGTGTGCATATACATGTATGCATACACACGTATATACATATATACACAATGTGTATATATATGTAAAATATATACATATATACACAATGTGTATATATATGTAAAATATATACATATTTTAAAGTCTCTGGAAACCACCATTCTACTCTCTACCTCTATGAGATTAATTTTTTTAGCTCCTATTTGTGAGTGAGAACATGTGATATTTGTCTTTCTGAGCCTGACTTATTTCACTTAACATAATCACCTCCAGTTTGATTTATGTTGCTGCAAATAACAGGCTTTCATTCTTCTTTAAGGATGAATAATAATTCATTGTGTATATATACAATATTTTATTTATCTATTTTCTGTTGATGAACATTTAGGCTAATTTCATATTTTACCTATTGTGAACTGTGCTGCATTAAACATGATAGTGCACATATAATACTGATTTCCCTTCTTTTGGATATGTATGCATCAATGGGATTACTGGAGAATACACTCCTATTTTTAGTTTTTTAAGGAACCTCCACACTATTTCCTATAATGGCTATAATACTTTATATTCTCACCAATAGTGCAAAAGAGATCCCCCTCCCATCCTTGGCAATATTTGTTACTTTTTTGTTTTTTTTGGTAATAGCCATTTTAACTGGGCTGTAATGACATCTCATTATGGTTTTGATTTGCAGTTCCCTGATGATTAGTGATACTGAACATTTTTTCATATACCTCTTGGCCATTTGTATGTCTTCTTTTGAGAAATGTCTATTTAGATCATTGGCCCATTTTTAAACCAATTTTCTTTTGTTTTTCTGCAGTTTTGTTGTTTCAGTTACTTATATGTTCTAGTTATTAGTCCCTTGTCATGTGGATAGTTTGCAAATATTTTCTTCCATTCTGGAGGTTGTCTCTTCCCTCTGTTGATTGTTTCCTTTACAGTGCAGAAGCTTTCTAACTTGATGTAAACCCATTTACCCATTTTTTATTTTTTTCTTGTGCTTTTGAGGTCTTACCCAAAAAATCTTTGCCCAGACCAGTGTCTTAATATGATTCCCCAATGTTTTCTTCTACTAATTTTATAGTAGTTTTTTTACTTTTAATTTTTTAAATGTAAAAAATGTAAAAGTAGGTTTTACAGTTAACTTTGTTAATCATTTTTTTTAAATTTTTGTATATGGTGAGATATAAGGGTCTTGTTTTGTGCTGCATGTGGCTACAAAACCAACATACAAAAATCAATAGCATTTCTACACATCAACAGCAAACAATCTGAAAAGGAAACCAAGAAAGCAATCTTCTTTACAAAAGCAATAAAAAACATAAAATGATTAGGAATAAATTCAGCCAAAGAAGTGAAAGATGTCTACATTGAAACTATAAAACACTGATGAAAAAAATTTGAAGAGGATAGAAAATAATGGAAAGATATCCCATGTTTATTGAAAGAATTAATATTGTTAAAATATATACACTGCCCAAAGTGATCTAGAGACTCAATGCAATTCCTATTGAAATACCAACAACATTCTTCATAGAAAAAACAATCCTAAATGTTATATGGAACTCTGAAAGACTGTGATAGCCAAAGCAATCCTGAGCAAAAGGAAGAAAGCTGGAAGCATCACACTACCTGACTTGAAAATTTACTGCAAAGCTATGCTAACTAAAGTAGCATGATACTGGCATAAAAACAGACACATAGCCTAATGGAATAGAATTGAGAATCCAGAAGTAAATTCACACACTTACAGCCAATTCATTTTCAACAAAGGCACCAAGAACATACATTAAGGAATAAACAGTCTGTGCAAAATAACATTTTAAAGGCTTAAGAGAGTTGTGACAGCAGCAAGAAGTAAATGGACTAAAATTTCACAGTGGAAAACAGCCATTAGAAATGATTTCCAGCTATTTTATCTTGGGAGGAGTTTACCTATTCTTGTTGCAAGCTGTTGATTGGGCTTAGCTCACTTGGAGAATAGAAAAACCAGTGAGAGTTTTGTCAGCAAGTGATGAAGTAACAAGTTCAACACTTAAAGGGTCTAAGTTATATGTACATTAAAAACTCTCTATAGAGTTTTTATGAATTCTGGGGCTAAATGCAGCTTTAGAGAAAGAGGAAAAAAAAAAAACGCTTGAAGAAAGAGTGAAATTTCCACATCATTGTGTTGCACTACTAATAAGAGGAAGCCTAAAAACAGAAAAGGCAACTGAAGAAAGTGGACACGGAAGGACAAATTGATTTTTTTTGTATCTGCAATTGTTTTCTATCTGAGGATACCAATACACTGAAAAAAAATCCTGAAATATGGTTTGCAAAACTTCATATTTTTGAATAATTATTTTAGAGATGGCGTCTCACTGTGTTTCCCAGGCCGTACTTGAACTCCTGAGGCTGCCAGTCTTACAGCCTCAGCCTTTCAAGTAGCTGAGACTACAGGTATGTGCCACCATGCTTAGCTAAAACTCCATCTTTTAAATATGAATATAATGAGAGACCTTGTCAAGTTCTTTGCTATAGTTGTGGTAAAATATCTGTTTCGTGTATTTCCAAGCAGTATCTCACAACCTCATTAATAAATGAAATAACTGTAGCTTGATAAGATTTATTATTCCTATAACATTCTTAGGTTCTCTTATTGCTTTATGTCAATCGTTCCCTTTTTAAGCTCCCCTTATGATTATATCCCAAATTGACTTTTTGTTTAATGGGCTAGAGATTGTAAAAATCCTTCTTTGTTTATTTTTTCAAAAAATAATTTTACTAGATTATTTGATTTTTTTCATAGCCTTCTTCTTCATCCTTTACAGAGCAGCAGCATTAATTTGTGATATAGTTTTCAAGTCCAGATTTTACACCTAAAATATCTTATTTTACTGCAGACTTCTTTTATAGCCATAATGTTCTTTTTATGGTTTTCTGACTGAATTCAGTGTCAGAAAAACATGTATGAATTTGTACAACTAATAGTTCACTGTATCCATGTAATCCCTAACATTTCCAAAGCATTTCCACATAAGATATGTTTCAGAAAATTATGTGAAGCTTATTTCTCTTAGAAGAATAACTGGCTAAGGAATTTATTCTAAAATATAAAATTAAAAATATATAAAGCACTTAATCACTAATGTATTTTCTCTAGTTAATCCCAAACCCTGAAATCAGTTAAGATGAGTAAGTCAAGATGTTAGCCAAAATTTAACAAAACACATTTTTTTCTAACATCTGGAGTTCATTTTGAATATTTGGACAACAATTTCATTGAATTAACACCTGTTGATTATTATCATCATATTGATGTGCTTCAGAGAAAATGAACTAGAAGAAGAAAGGGATGAGAGACATGATGTTAACTGAAGCTGAATTCACTATGAGGATTTAGACTTACTGGCAGGTCTTGCTGCCTGTGTGAAAAGTCTTTAAATGCCTATTTGCAGGAGCTAGTGAAAACTAAGAAAAATAAGTTATATTAACATAAAAAGGTGACAAATACTTTTAATGAACAAATAAAAAGTATTCAGTTATGAGAGAAGGCTTGATGTAATATTTCTACAACAGCACTACGTACTGTGTAATGAAAGAGGTACTTGAGAATGTATTTAAGACTCAACAAAGTAACTCTTTCTATTAAAGGTTGCTGAATATAATGTTCTCCTGCATTATAGTATCTTAGAGAGAACATTGATGGCAGAGAGAATGCTGATCTTAGCAAAGAGAACAGAGTTGGAAGGTAAAGGGTGAAAATGTCATTATTGAAATAAAGGAGGCAATATTGAACAATGCACAATGAAAGAAAATAAGTACTCATTATCAATTGATAATCAAATTGTGGAATTAACTTCAAATTTTATTCAGTATTATAAAAATATATTTCTATTTATATTATTAAAATATAATATCGAATATTGTAATATTGAATTATTTAATAATTTAATATTGGAAAATATTTTAAATCACTTACAGATTAAATATTTTTCAGGTTTATTCTGTTGCCTACATACAGGCTTTTATTTAGAAATAGGTAAGACCGGGATGTGAGTTCAAGATGGCTGGTGAGAGGCAGTTAGAATGCACCTCTTCCGTGGGGAGGAAACAAAACATGACAATCTTCACACTTTGAACAGATCTTTTGAAAGAGAGCACTAAAATTCAAAAGAGAGGTGATGGAAGAAATTGTGGTTAAGAGGGAAGAAGTAGGGCTGCCTGCTCAGCATTGCCAGATACTAGGACTGGGCCCAAGACCCAGATCCAGACCCGAGAAAGGAGTCAGTGAAGGAACCCCAGGGTATCATATTCCTACTGTGGACCTCTGAGATTCTAGCTATGAAGGTTTCTGACACCTGAAGATCTTTGGATTGGTAGATGGAGATACCTGGTAACCATGAAAAGTCGCTGCTTGAACGCATGTGGAGCCTCAAAGCCTTCCATGAGTTGAGCATTGCAGCAAAGCATGACTGTGGGTGCCTACGTCACATGGCTCTGTATCCTAAGCTTCTGCAGCTGCTGCTGTCTGCTGGGCCAGGGAATGAGCAGGGCCTGGTCACTTTTACGGGCCCCAAAGACAGACTCCATCTGAATCATGGGCCCCGTGCCTGCCAGTCTCTCCCAAAACTGCCTGCTAGGCCATTCCCACAGAGGATGGGCCCACAACCTAGCCGCCATTGCCCCACCCCAGTTGAGTTGTTGGCAGCCTTGGAGCAGTTTGTCCCTCCATATCCAGGCTGGTGCTTGAGCTCCTGGCAAATCCTCTGGCCTGGTCCCAGTTCCCTAAGACTTGAACACACCATCCAGGAAAATGGAGATGAGATTTGTGATCTAATCTCAAGTGGGGAAGGAGCCCCCACTGTCAAAACACAAAGAAGAGTGTGGCACCAGATTGTGGAGTGGCCTAGGACCTGGGCATCCCTCCCTTTACAAGACTGGAATGGGAAAGGTGTGGCCTGGTAACTGTGGTTTCTGCCCCACAGAGTCTAGAACCCTAGAAATCCCGGAATAGCTTTGTGATTTGAACGCAGACAGCTTTAGACTAGCCTAACCATTCTGTCCTGCTGCTGGCTGCCAGACACTGAAGACCTTCCAGGTTAGGGCTGTGGGAGCCGGGCAGTTTCCATTGCCACTTGCTGGGCTGAAAACCCTGTCTGGTTTTCTTCTGAGAGGGCTCTGTGGTATGAAAGAAGCACTTCTGCCCCTCTTGAAGAGTTGCTCCAAAGGCCTGAGAGCTGTCCCTGGACTCCAGCCAAAACCAGCGCTTAAGCCCATCTTGGAGAGCCTGGTTATGGACTTGTACCATCCAACCCTGCCTCATATTGTCCTCTCTAGTTCCCTTTGTGTCAGAACCCCGGATGGGGACCCCTGAAAACCCCATGGCCTCACACATCACCTGGGACACACTAGTGCTTCCTCTGATCAACAAAGGTCAAATAAAAATTCCACTACTACCACTGAAACTGCCTCTTGCCTGAAAGCACTATCTACTGACCAGGAGGTCAACCTGCACAACTCATCACAATTTCTGCTGACACTACTGTTCAGCGTTTGGTTGGAATTTACCTGCAAGTGCCACCTACTGTCCCCTAGGGTGAACTGCACGTTCCACTATAATTTCTGCTGACAGAAGTACACAGCACTGTGGAATGACATAATTCTCCTGTGACCTCCACCTCCCTACCTCTGCAGGAGGCAGGGAGCCTGATGACACACATAGTAAAACACTACTACAACATAGAAACAACTAGCATTTGAGAAAACTGTTACACTAAGCTTATCTATACCCAGGAACTCATACAGAGCCTTGGCCCCCTAAAGCAGAAAAAAGCAAAGACAAAGGACCCTATCCAAAATACAAGGCAGACATGCCGCCAAGGGGAAATAAAGCCCATCCAAATGAAAGTAAGTTCAAAACTAATAATTATAGCTTCTCCAGATGAGAAGTAACTAGTGTAAGAACTCCAGCACCATGAAGAAACTAAGGTGTGACACTTCCAAAGGACCATACAAGTTCTCAAACAATGGAGCTTAGCCAAAATGAAAATTATGAAATGACAGATAAGGAATTCAAAATATGGATTAGAAATAAGTTCAATGAGATGAAAGAGAACATTTAAAAACAACAAAAAGAAATAGAAAAAAATTCAGGAGATGAAGGACAAGATAGATATATTAGGAAAAAAAGAATTTCTGAAAATGAAAAATTAACTGAAGAAATGTCAAAATGCATTTCAATCCTTTAGCAAGACTAGATCAAGAAGAAGAAAAAATTTCAGAGCTCAAATACAAGTCTTTTGAAATAACGCAGCCAAAAATAAAAAAATAATTGAAAAAAATTAAGAAAGCCTTGGAGAGATATGGGATTAAGGGATTACGTAAAGGGTCAAAATCTATGACTTATAGGCATTCCTGAGGGAGAAGAAGTAAAAGTAAGAAGTTTGGGAAACATATTTGAGGGAATACTTAATTACAAGTTTTCTGATCTTGCTGTAGATATAGACATCCAGACACGAGATATTCAGAGAACACCTGAAAGACACTATACAAGAGGAAAATGACCAAAGCATATAATTATCCGACTATCCAAGGTCAAAGTGAAAGGTGAAAGAAAAAGTCTTAAAAGCAGCTACACAGAAGCATTGAATCACATATAAAGGAAATACCATCAGATTAGCAGTGGACTTCTCGGTAGAAACCTTATAAGCCAGAAGAGATTGGGGCTCTATTTTCTTTAGACTGCTTAAAGAAAAACATGCCAGCCAAGAACTTTACATCCTGCCAAACTAAGCTTCATAAATGAAGGAGAAATGAGGTCTATGTCAAACAAGCAAATGCCAAGGGAATTCATCACCACTAGACAAGTCCTACAAGAAACGCTCAAAGAGTTTTAAACATGGTAATGAAAGGACAGTACTTTCCATTGTAAAAGTATACATAACTACAATGCTCAAAACCCTAAAAAGCAGTTATATAATTGAGACTACAAAGCATCTAACTTAAAACACTATGAATGGGGAAAAAACCTCACACATCAATGTTAACTTTGAACATACATGGCCTGAATGCTCCACTTAAAAGATATAGACTAGCAAATTGGATTTTAAAAGAATCCAACCATCTGCTGTCTACAAAAGACCCACTTAAGAGGTAAAGACACTCACAGATTTAAAGCAAAGGAGTGAAAAAAAGATATATCATACAAATGAAAAACAATAATAAGCATTCATAGCTATGCTTATATGGAACAGAATTTAAATCAATAACAGTGAAAAAAGACAAAGAATGCCATTATATAATCCATAAAGGGCCAAATTCAACAAGATGATTTAACTGTTCTAGATATATATGTACCCAATACCAAAGCCCAAAGATTCATAAAATACAAACTACTAGTCCTAAGAAAAGAGGTAGACAACAACACAATAATAATGGGGGCTTCAAGACCCAACTCACAGCATTAGACAGATCATCGAGGCAGAAAAGCAATAAACTCTGGACTTAAACTGGACTCTGGAACAAATGGACCTAATAGATAGCTACAGAACATTCTACCAAACAACCACAGAATAGTCATTTTTCTAATTTGTGCATGGAACATTCTCCAAAATAGACCATATTCTTGGACATAAAGCAAGTCTCAATTTTTTTTTAAATTTGAAATAATATCAAGTATCTTCTTTGACCACAGTGGAATAAAATTAAAAGTCAAAACAGAGAGGAACTCTCAAAACTACACAAGTACGTGGAAACTCAAAAACTTGCTCTTGAATGACCTTTGGGTAAGCAGGCAAAATTAAGGCAGAAATAAAAATATTTTTGGAAACAAATGAAAATAGAGACACAATATACCAAAACCTCTGGAATACATCATAAGCAGTGTTAAATGGAAAGCTAATACTGCTAAATGTCTACCTCAAAAAGAAAAAGTTCTCAAATTAACAACCTAACTTTGCACCTCAAGGAACTAGAGAAACAAAAATGAACCAAACACAAAGCTAACAGAATAAAAAAACAACAAATATCAGTGCAAAACTAAATGAGATTGAGACCCCAAAAATAATGCAAAATAACAACTAAATGAAAAATTGTTTCCTTGAAATGATAAACAAAATTAATAGTCAGCTAGCTAGATTAACCAAGCAAAAAAGATAGAATATTCAAATAAGCACAATCAGTAATGATAAAGGTAACATTACAACTGATACCAAGAAAATACTAAAGATCATCAGAGACAACTATGAGCATTCTATGTGCACGAACTAGAAAGGCATGAGAAAATAGATAAATTTCTGGAAACATACAACTTCCCAAGATTGAAGCAGGTCCAAATAGAAACCCTGAGCAAACCAATAATGAATAATGAAAATGAATCAGTAATAAATAATCTCCTAATAAAAAAAGCTTAGGGCTGGGGGCATTTATAGCTAAATTTTACCCAACACACCAAGAAGAGCTGATACCAATTCTGCTGAAATTATTCAAAAAAATTGAGGAGGAGGGATGCCTCCCTAACTCATTCTATGAAACCAATAACACCCTGATACCAAAACCAGGCAAAGAGACAACAGAAAAAGAAAACTACAGCCCAATTTTGCTAGTAAACATAGATGTAAAAATTCACAACAAAATACTAGCAAACTGAATCCAACCATATGTCAGAAAGATAATCCATCACAATCAAGTGGGTTTTATTCCAGAGATACAAGGATGGCCCAGCATATGAGAAAATGTGAAATTTACTACATAAAGAGAATTAAGAGCATAAACCACATGATCATTTCAATAAATGCAGAAAAAGTATTCAATGAAACCCAACATTGCTTCATTGTAAAAACTCTCAACAAATGAGGCATCAAAGAAACATAACTCAAGATAACAAAAGCCTTATATGATAATCCACAGCCAACATCATACCAAATGGGGAAAAGTTGAAAGCACCTCACTCCCAAGAACTGGAACAAGATAAGGATATCTTATTCTCAACACTCCTATTCAACATCCTAGGACTGCCAAGTCCTAGCCAGAGCAATCAGGCAAGAAAAAATAATAATAATAAAAGGCATCCAAAATGGAAAAATGGAAGTCAAATGATCTGTTCTCTGATGACATGACCTTATATTTAGAAATCCCTAAAGAATGCTGCAAAAGACTAGACTCGATAAATGACTTCAGTAAAATTTCAGACTACAACATCAACATGCAAAAATCAGTAGTTTCCATATACACCAATAATATTCAAGCTGAGAACCAAATCAACAACTCAATTTTATTTATAATAGCCACAAGTTATAAAAATAGCTAGGAATACATTTAATCGAGGAGGTGAAAGATCTCTATAAGGAGAACTACAAATCACTGATGATAGAAAGATATAGATGACATGAACAAATGGAAAAACTTCCCCTCATGTATTGGAAAATCAAAATCATTAAAATGACCTCACTGCTTAAAGCAATCTACAGATTCAACACAAATCTGATTAAATTACCACGTCATTCTTCACAGAATTAGAAAAAATACTATCCTAAAAGTCATGTGGAAACAAAAAGGAACCCAAAGAGCCAAAGCAATTGTAAGCAAAAAGAACAAAGCTGAACATATCACATTTTATGACTGCAAATTGTACTACAATGCTGTATATGATGGTTAGTATTTAGTGTCAAGTTGATTGGATTGAAGAATGCAAAGTATTATTCCTGGGTGTGTCTGTGAGGGTGTTGCCAAAAGAGGTTAACATTTGAGTCAGTGGACTAGGAGAGGCAGACCCACCCTCAATCTGGGTGGGTACCATCTAATCAGCTACCAGTATGGCTAGGATAAAAGCAGGCAGAGGAACATGGAAGGACTAGACTGGCTAAGTTTTCTGGCCTCCATCTTTCTCCCATGCTGAATGCTTCCTGCTCTCAAACATCAGACTCCAAGTTCTTCAGCTTTTGGACTCTGGACATACACCAGTGGTTTGCCAGTGGCTCTGGTGCCTTCAGCCACAGACTGAAGGCTGCACTGTCAGCGTCCCTAGTTTTGAGGTTTTGGAACTCGGACTGGCTTCCTTGCTACTCGGCTTGCAGACAGCCTATTTTGTGACTTCACCTTGTGATGACATGAGTCAATACTCCTTAATATACTCCCTTTCATATATACATCTATCCCATTAGTCCTGTTCCTCTAGAGAACCCTGACTAATACACTGTCATAACCAAAACAGCATGTTACTAGTACAAAAATAGACTCATAAATAATGGAACATATTAGAGTACCTAGAAACAAAATCATATACCTCCATCCAATTTACCTTTCAGGAAGTCAACAAAAATATATGATGTGGAAAGTTTATTCTAGTCAATATATGGTGCTGGGAAAATTGGATAGCAGAAGAAATAAAAATAGATCTCTATTTCTCACTACATACAAAAATAAACTCAAAATTGATTAAATACTTAAATGTATAACTTGAAACTATAAGAATTATAGAAGAAATCCTAGGAAACACTCTTCAGGACATTGGTCTAGGAAAAGAATATATGCTTAACAGCTCAACGGCAAATGCAACAGAAGCAAAAATAGACAAATTGTACTTAATTAAAATAAAAACCACCTGCACAGCAGAAGAAATAATCAACAGAGTGAGCAACCTACAGAATGGGAGAGAGTATTCGCAAACTGTACATCCAGCAAAAAACACCCAGAATCTACATGGAACTGAAACAGCTCAACCAGAAAAAGAAAAAAAAAAATTAAGCCCATTAAAAAGTGAGCAAAAGATAAAAACAGACATTTTTCAACATAAGATATACAAATGGCCAACAAACATGAAAAAATGCTCAACATCACTAATAATAGGAAAAATTCAAATTAAAACTGCAATGAGATACCATCTTACACCATTCAGAACAACTGTTATTAAAAAGTTAAAGAAAAAAAAACAGATGTTGGTGAGGATGCAGAGAGAAGCAAATGCTCATACCCTGTTGGTGGTAATGTAAATTAGTATAACCTCTGTATTAGTCTGTCCTCACATTGCTAATAAAGACATACCTGAGACTGGGTAATTTATAAAGTAAAAGAGGTTTAATGGACTCATAGTTCCACATGGCTGGGGAAGCCTCACAATCATTGTGGAAGGTGGAAGAGTAGCAAAGGCACATCTTACATGGCAGCAGGCAAGAGAGCATGTGCAGGGTAACTGTCCTTTATAAAACCATTAGATATCCCGAAACTTATTCACTGTCATGAGAACAGCATGGGAAAAACCCACCCCCTTGATTCAATTACCTCCCACCAGGTCCCTCCCACAACATGTGGGGATTATGGGGGCTACAATTCAAGATGAGATTTGGGTGGGGACACAACCAAACTATATCAACCTCTAGAGAAAACAGCATGGAGATTTCTCAAAGCACTAAAAGTGGAACTCCCATTTGACCCAGCAATCCCACTACTGGGTATCCACCCAAAGGAAAAAACATATTAAAAAAAGACAACTACACTTGTATATTTATTGCAGCACTACATTAAATAGCAAAGTCATGGAATCAACCTAACTGTCAATTGATGGATGATTGGATAAAGAAAATTTAGCATGCATACCATGGAATACCATGCAGCCATAAAAAAGAACAAAATCACATCTTTTGCAGCAATATGCATAGAGCTGGAAGCCATTATCCTAAGTGAAATAAGTTATAAACAAAAAACAAAATAGTGCATGTTCTTATTTAAAACTGGGTACTAAATAAGGGGTACACATGGACATCCACAAGGATATAATAGACTGAGGACTCGAAAAGTGAGGAAGAGGGAAGTGGGGTCAAGGTTGAAAAATTACCTATTCAGTATAATGTTCATTATTCAGGTGACAGATACACTAAAAGCTGAAACCTTACTATTACACAATATATACATGTGACAAACCTGCGCATGTACCCTCCAAATCTATAATAAAAATAATAAATAAATAAATAAATAAATAATCTTTAAACAGAGAAAAATAAAAATAGGTAAGACAGGCAAAGTCATTTATTCAATTTCTCATACTTTCTTATAGCAAAATATTATGTCCCAATTTAAATAATGTTAGGAAAGTATATAATGACATTCATTCTTTAATTTAACAAAACTTAACTACCTGTTATATGCCATGGGTTGAAAATATGTGTTGAATTAAAAGGACAATGTAGATGAGTGTATAGATGTTGTCTTATAGACTGATTGTAGGACATTTATATTCTGGTGAGGCAAGGTAGACAATAAATTGGTAAATTGTAATGATTAAATAATATTTAAAAATCAAAATGAATTGACAATAAAATATTCTGAAAAGGTGGCTAGTTGGGAGATGAGGGCCTACTCGTGGTGGTGGTCCAAAAGTTATTTTGAAGCAGCTGACTTTGGGCAGAGACTTTGGGTAAAGACAAGTTGTTTATGTTAAACTCTCAAGGAGAATAATCCTGAGACAACTGCCTTCTAATAACATAGGGTAAGCATAATTCACCCTTTTATGAATAGAAAATCTGACAGAATAAATGAGATAGTAATATTAGGACTTAAAAAGTAAATAGCAGCAGGCAGATTGAGGAAAAATGCCAGGTTTTGAAGTATCACCAAACTGGCTATGAGTTTACCTTTCTTTTTCCTTGCTTGTACCCCTATCCCACACTAGCCTAAGTTCAAGAAACCAGGAGTACAGAAGTTCAGACGCAGAAACCTCTAATCAAAGCCAACGAGCTTCTCCTGAGTTGCTGGAAAGAGAACTCCCAACTAAGGAAGAATGCAGAAATCTCTTCCCTCCCTCTCTCACTTCCCTCCTTCCTTCCTCCAAGTTTTTGTTCTTATTAATTTTATATGTTTCATGCACCAGCCTTAAGCAGCCTCATAGTACATGGGAAGTATCCAGGAGGGAGAACCCAAGAGAATCAAACTCTGAGAAAAAGGAAACTTTCTTTCTATTGAAGTGGACTACAGTTTCATATAACCAGAAGTACCTTAGAGATCACAGAGAGCAAAGAGCTCAAAAATCCAGACATAAAGTTTATGAACTCTGGGTCTCATCTCCAGGGCATGCATACGTGAATGTGAACATAGTAAGCACACCATAGACTTTGCGAATCTGAACTAAGAGATGAATTATCTTGAGGTCCCAGACTGACTGCTAGGTAGAACACACTGAAGACAGATTTGAGGAACACTACAGATGATTCAAATCTGAACTGACATTGAAGCCGCAGACCAAAGAAGGTTGGTTGGTAGAATCTAATCCTATTTGATTGCCTGCATTAATAAAAATAATATTTTTATAGTATGGAAACATAATGCAGAGTATCATATATATTTTTGTATATATATGTGTGTGTGTGTATATATATATACATATACATGTGTATATATATACATATACATGTGTATATATATACATATACATGTGTGTATATATATACATATACATGTGTGTATATATATACATATACATGTGTGTATATATATACATATACATGTGTGTATATATATATACATATACATGTGTGTATATATATATACATATACATGTGTATATATATATATATATTTTTTTTTTTTTTTTGAGACAGAGTGTCGCTCTGTCACCCAGGCTAGAGTGCAGTGGTGCGATTTTGGCTCACTGAAAGCTCCGCCTCCCGGGTTCTTGCCATTCTCCTGCTTCAGCCTCCTGAGTAGCTGGGACTACAGGCGCCCACCACCACGCCTGGCTAATTTTTTGTGTTTTTAGCAGAGACGGGGTTTCACCGTGTTAGCCAGGATGGTCTCTATCTCCTGACTTCGTGTTCCACCCGCCTCAACCTCCCAAAGTGCTGGGATTACAGGCATGAGCCACCGCGCCCGGCTGCAGAGTATCATATTTTAAATGTCCAGGATACAATACAAAATTACTTGGCACATGAAGCACCACCTACACTTCTGCTCAATAGAAAAGGTAATTAACATAGGTCAACATGGATCAGACAGAAACACTCCTACAACAAATGTTAAACTGATGTTTCAGAAAAGAAATAAAAGACATAAAGAATCAAATCTAAATCGAGAACTGAACGATATAATAACCAAAATAAGGAAATCACTGGATAGACGGAATGGCAGAATAGACATGGCAAAATAGTCAATTACTAGAAAATATATCAGTAGATTATGAATCTGAACAACAGAGAAAAAAAATGATTAAAAAAGAATAAAGAAAAATATCCCGTTGTCTGAGACATTAACCAAAATTGTAACATTTTAAAATTAGAATTCCAGGAGTAAAAGAGAAAGAGCGCAGTCCTAGAAAAATAATATGAAGAAATAATGCCCCCAAAATTTCAAGGTTGGTAAAAGACACAAACATTGAGATTCAAGAGGCTGAGTGAATCCCAAACAGAATAAATCGAAAGAAATTCAGGGCTAGACACATCACAATCAAAGCTGGAAAACTAAAGACAAAGATAAAATATTAAAAGCAGCCAGAGAAAAAAAGCCAATGCATTCCCTATAGGAGAATAATAATTTGAATGATTGCTTTTTTTTTTTTTTTTTTTTTTTTTTTTTTTTTTTGAGACAGAGTCTTGCTCTGTCACCCAGGCTTGAGTGCCATGGAGTGATCTCAGCTGACTGCAGCCTCTGCCTCCCGGGGTTTAAGCAATCCTCCCACCAAGGCCTCCCAAGTACCTGGGATTACAGGAATAATTTTTTGTTATTTTTAGTGGAGATGGGATTTTACCATGTTGGCAAGGCTGGTCTCAAATTTCTGACCTCAAGTGATTGGCAGGCCTCTGCCTCCCAAAGTGCTGGGATTACAGGCGTGAGCCACCACGCCTGGCCTGATTGCATATTTCTCATCATAAATTGTAGAGTCTAGAAGGATGTGGCATAACATTTTAAAGGACTGAAAGAATGAATTGTTAACCCATAATTCCATATTCAGTAATAATATTCTTTAGGAATGAAAGTAAAATAATGACATTCTCAGATAAAGGAAAACTAAAACAATTCACAGAAAACAGATTTACTCTAAAAAAAAAATTGCTAATAGAAGTTCTTTGCACTAAAGGACAATGACACCAAGAAATAAGAAAGAAAAAAACTGGTAAAAGTCAAGGTAAATATAATAGACTATCAGCTCTTCTTGAGTTATTTAAAATCTATTTGAAAGTTGAAAGCTAAAACTAAAACTTTGCTGGAATTTTCAATGTATATAGATGTAATATATAAGACAACTATAGGATCAGAGGCCTATATTGTGTTAAGGTTTCTACATTGTAATTCAACTGGTAAATATCAATGCTTAGTAAACTGAAAGATTTAGTATATATTGTGTAATATTTAGAGCAACTGTAAGAAAAAAATTTCAACAAGATGTAGTCAAAATCACAAGAGAAATTAAGACAGAATACTAAACAAAAATATTCTTCAAAGGGGGAAAGAAATAAACACAGAGGACAAAAATGAAAAATGATATGACTTATTTAAATCTGTACATATTAATAATTACCTTAAATGACAATAGTTTAAACATCCGAATTAAGAGACAGGAGATTATCAGAGCAGAAAAAAATATAACCTACATATATACTATCTACAAAAAGAACTCACTTCAAATATAATAATGTAAATAGATTAACAGAAATATCTAGGAAGAAAAAATAATGAGTATAAAATCCCTAAAACTGGGACAATCTCAGCATGTTAAAAAATATATATTGTTAAGTGTGTTTACGATTCACGTAAGAAAATAGTTTACACACAAACATTTTAATGATGAAAAATTCCAAGTTATGTGACTAGAGAGCTTTTTAATTTTCCTGGGACCTATTGGCATTGTTCACATTTTTTAAATGAGCATTTATTGAATTATTTCTGAAATAATTTCTAATAAGGGATAATTTAGAAACAAAAATAGCAAAGGCCTCTGTAAGGCATTGGGAGATAAAAGGAAGAAAAAAAGATTATTTGTGTGGTTGAAGAAAATAGGAGACATCTAGTGCCGTTGTGGGGATGCGAATGGGGATGAGTAAAATTTGTGTTTTGGAAGATGCCAACACTACATATAAATAAAGAATTCATGAGAGGAGCGAGTTATATTGGAGACAGATAAATAAGCTCAATTTACAAAATAGTGAGGAACACTTCTTACTGAGAAGCTTCCAGTTAGTAATAATTAGTTGGAAGTTGGAAGTTTAGGTATGAATTTCGAAAAAGTTAGAGCTAGAATTATAGATTGGGGAATATCAACAGATTAATAGAGTGTGGCTTTAAAGGGCATAGTTTAAAAATCTGTTTATGGAAAGCTAATTTGTTTAAATGGCTGAGTATACATCACGGAGTTCCGCAACCTGAAGCAACGGCACATGGAGATTTATTACTAGCATTAAATGAGGAGGGTTGATGTTATATCCTGAGGGCAGTGTGTTAATATGCATATTTATAAGAACAAGCAGTTCTTGCTCTATATTTTACCACTTAAGCACACCTCTGATTGCTACAGTAATTTAACCTTCACCTAATTTCACTAAATTACTTGTAAACATCAGCTAGCAAAAGTTAATTGAAGGAAATGTAATTGGATATTTTGAATATAGCCCTACTACACAATTAAGCAATTCTTTGTGACTGATAGTTTTAATGAGACATCAGATCAAAGTAAACGCTTAGAAAATATATATTGCTGCCTTTCATTATTTGGGGTTCAAATGAAGCAAATCCTTCTGGGAAAATAACTTTATGTTTTCTAGTTTTCAAGCCCATAAATATTTATCGAACACCTGGGAGGAAGAGAAGCATCATTCATTGGTGGCCCCAGGTTTTTAAAAAATATATTTATTCAATTTTCATTGATAGTTCAAAATCAATGGTGGTATTAAGGAAAGTTAATTAAATATGGAGGGGTCAAAACAATTACTTAGATCAAGAACTACTCTTTTTACTTCATTGGGTAATCTTGGATAGGATAAAGCAAGTGAGAGGATGAACTAAGATTAAAAGCTAGCAATGGGAGGCATAGATAGCCAAGACAGAGAAATACAGTCAATGCAGGTGCTGTATTTAAAGTCTTACACTTGAGCAATTACAACTAGAGAGACTGGTGCCAAACTCCACACACAACGGACAGCCATTCCAATTCATTCCAATTCATTATCTAAGAGTTCTAAGCTAGACAGTGCTTGCAGTACAACCTTCAAAATATATAATAATATAAAGTACACAAAATAAGATTAGTTTTGAGCTAGACCAAACATTTTTGGTCCTATGAGACAGAGAGTTTCACTAATTTTCAACGATAGAGGATTAAAACCACTCCCTATATTATTTGCTGTTTGGTATGTTACCATTTCTGCTAAATAAGTGTCTTTCATTTATTACTACACATGGATTGTGATGTAATTCATTACAAAGCCCAATATTTATTTTATCTTATGATTTAAATATTTTCTTATTTTAAAAATTGTCAAAATGAAACACTTATAAATTCATAGTAATGAACCATATGGATAAATATAAATAAGGGCTTTTTAATTTAAGGGTGCAGCTGGCTTGTAACCAAAAATCTGCCTCTGTTAATTTGTACCAAGTTATCAATGAAGACACAGGAGAAAAATAAAAGTATATGTGTACTTACCACACCAGAAAAAAATGATGGAATAAAAATCACATGTGGACAAAATTCAAACTAGAGATTTAAAGAAAATATTCCTAAGAACTTGCAGTTACAGGGATTTAGAAGCAAAATCCAGGCTCAGAATTCTCTTTCATGATTCTAAATGACTGAGAAAAGAAGACATTTACAACAAATTAGGAAGAAGAAATGTTATTGCACACCTAGAGTTTTATATCAGCCAATTGTCTATTCTGTTAAGAGCAGATTGATAGTCCCAGATATAAATTGGCTTATTTCCTTCTTAAATAGTTGTCATTCAGCTGAATGAGTGATTAATTGAAAAAGAAAATTTAGCCTGTGAAAGTTATAATATAAAATATCTGGTATTTTCTTAAAGCATCATCAAATGCTGCTGGGTAGAAACAGTAAATCATGAATAACGCAAGTCTAGGAACTGAATTGCAACTCTGATTTTGAACAAATTACTTCATTTAATTTCATAATTTAAGCAATCAGTGAGAATACCTGAACTGCATTCTTCTAAGCCTTATTTGCATGTGAAAGGGACTTTTAAAATTCTATAATACATAATAATGCAAGTACTTCAAGATCACCTAAGAAACAGCAGCTACTGTTTAATTTATAGCATTGATTTACTTCCAGCAACAGTACCTTAAGACAGATAGTATTACTATTGGCTATTTTTCAGATAATGAAACTCTGGTAAAGAAAGGTTAAGTTTTTTCCCCAAGTTCATGGGGCGTGAAAATGACAGAGCCAGTATTCAGGCACAGGCATTCTGGATCTGAAATCTGGATTTCGACCCAATATCTATTAATAGATTCTTAAAAATGATTTAGAAATTTGAAAATGATAAAGTAGAAAAAGAAAAATTTTAAACATTTATTTTTGTTTTAGGGGTACATGTGCAGGTTTGTTCTATAGATAAATTGCCTGTTGTGGAGGTTTGGTGTACATATTATTTTGTTACCCAGGTAATAGGCATAGTACCTGATAGGCAGTTTTTTAGTCCTCACCATCCTCTCAGTCTTCACCTTTAAGGAGTTTTTTACAAATAGATTTCACACATTTATGTTCTTCAGAAAGTATTTGTAGTTGACATAGTATACACCTTTCTTTACCCATGAAACTACTACATTTAAGCTAAACCGTTCTTTACCCATGATACTACTGTATCTAAGTCAAACCTTTCTTTACCCATGAAACTACTACATTTAAGTTAAACCATTCTTTACTCATGAAACTACTGTATCTGAGTTAAACCTTTCTTTATCCATGAAACTACTACATTTAAGTTAAGCCTTTCTTTACCCATGAAACTACCACATCTTAGTTAAACATTAAAAGTAATGGCAAGACCTGCAATTACTTTTGCACCAACCTAAGAATAAAACCACTCTCTCTCAATTTTATGAGAAACTAAATCTTGTTTTCTTTCTAAATTTTGACATCTACCTACTCTTCTCTATTGAAAAATTTAGAAAATTTCTATTTTGTATGACTGTTATTGCTAGCTACTCTTGATTCCCTATCTGGGTAAGGTTGATGTTTGTCTAATGTTTTAATAACATAGATATTTTTATTATGTTGCATTTTAGTGAAATCTTACTGCATAAAATGAGAATTGCAAAAGAAGTATTTTTAAAATGTATATGTGATAAAATTATCATATATAACATACAAATTCATGAAGAATTATATAGGAGAGTGTACATATGTAGCCATAAAAGAGGTGTCTGAATGGTCATTAAGTGTTAATGATGATTATCAATGTAATGAAATATCAGGTGATTTTTATTTGCTTCCTATCAATAGTATATATAGTTCAAAATCTTTGCAGTAAATCATATATCATCTCATATTCAAAAGTAAACATCAAAAGTAAAGATGTTTTCCTTCTGAAAAAATAGAAGGTAATTGTGAGAAAACATATACTAAAATATTGACAGTGATTATCTTTCATCCTGATGGAAAAATTAGTGTTGCTATTTTTATTATGGTGATTTTAAATTATAATTTGAATATACATTATATGAAAATAATTTAAACAACATAGAGTGCATAGTGTAAAAATTAAAAACATTTAAACTAATATTTTGAACTCTGCATTCAATCTCAAGAAGGTTCTTCTCACTAAACAAAGCATACACTTTTGAGCAGTTTTATTCTTTCTTGCCTTTACATACGTAATTGAAGGGTAAGAATGACAAGTAGTCTGTACATTAAGAAGCAGAGGTACAAATTGTAATATATTGACATATTTGATTTATAATAGGTGTCTTTTTTTTTTTACTTAAATAGGCCCTATGAGGAAGGAAGAGAGCAAAAAATCTTTTATTCAAAGTGTTCAATCTTATGCATTTTGACATATTTATACACTGTAAAATTATTGCTGCCCTTAGGACACAGAATATTTCCACCACCTCCCCAAGTCATCTGATGCTATTTGCTATCTCATTATAGATTGGATTTCTTTTTCTAACATATATATTTATATGTAAATATATATGACATATGTTCATATATATAAATAAAATCATCCATTAGATATAATTATTTGTAACTTTTTTTACTCACCATAATGATTGTAAGATTTTTTTTTTTTTTTTAGCTTTTGGTATCTGTGACTTGTTCATTTTATATCTGAATAACATTCTTTAGCAAGGATATTCCAGATTCCATTTATCAATTCACCAGCTGATGAACATTTGTGTTGTTTTCCATTTTTTTACTAGTATAAATAAAATTACTGTTGATATTCTTATACAGTTCTCTATGTGGACATGTGTTTTCATTTGTTTGGGTAAATACCTAGCAATGCAGTGGCTGGGTTTCATAACAGGTAAATATTTAGCTTTTAAAGAGACGTTAGTTTTCTAAAGTGGTTGCACCATTTCATATTCACACCAAAAGGGTATGAGAGTCCAAGTTGTTCCACATTTTTACTAGCAATTGTGAATTTAAATATTTTTAATTTTAGCAATTCTAAGAGTTGTGTATTCATATCAAATTATGGTTCTAATTTGTAATTCCCTCACGGTTAATAATATTGAGAATGTACGCTTTTAAGATATTTGTACATGCTATTTTGTTAATAACTTTATAAAATCATTTATCATTTTTTCTACTGTTTGTTCTTTTCTTACTATTGAGCTTTATGTGTTCTTTACATATTCTAGATACAAATTATCTGTTAGATTTAAAAGAATGTTTTATTATATTAATTGTTGTACTATTTATTTTCTTCATAGTGTCCTGCAAAAACCAAATGAATTTTAACTATAGTAAACTCCAACTCATCATTTATTTTCTTAATTTTATGGTTCGTGCTTTATATTGTAATCTGAGAAATGTTTGGCCATGTCATAGCCATAAATATTTTGTAGAAGTTTTATAATTTTAGCTTTTATATTCAGATGCATGATCCATTTTGCATTATTTTTGTGTATATGTGAGGTGAAGTTTGAAGTTCATTTTTATTCATATGGGTAACCAGTTATTCTTATATTTTCATTCTCCATTAATTGTCATGGAACATTTAAAGATAATCAATTAAACATACGTAGTGATTGTATTTCTACGATTCCTATTCTGTTCCCTTGATCCAGCATCTATACTGTTGCTCATACCATATTCTCTTAATCACTGTAGCTTTATAATAGGAGTTTAAATTAGATAATATAAGTTTACCAAATTTTTCTTCTTTTAAAAAAATTTGTTTGGGAAGACTTCTAGTTTGGGAAAGATGATATAGACCCATATTTCTCTTCTGATCCTCATGGAGCACAACTATAAACCTTGAAAATGTCGCAAAGACAACCAAAGGAAAATTCCAAAGGAGTAAGAGGAAAGTGAGGAGTTAGTTTGTGACTACAGAAATGAAGGAATAAAATAATGGCAGGTAGCTTGTGTTCTCCCAACCAACAGAGGAAGGCCATATGGATTAATTGTTTCCCATCCCCAACCTAGCAACAGAAGACAGCCCAGGTAGGCTCATATCTCCACACAAAGAAGAATCTGTGTGGCAACATCAGACAAGCTTGACCCCACTGGCAAAGGGAATCATTCAGGGGGCCCACCAAAAAAAAGTGGCCAGGGGAAATGCTATCTATCCCACTGGGCCTGAAATACAACTTTACTCTGAAAAGATAAAGAGGTGGGAGAGCTGAAATTGCAAGAGAGCAGTTATACTCATTAGAGCAGTTTTCCCAATTTCGGAAAACTTGTCTCATGTGAGACTCCCTTTCCCTGCTCAGGGATGCATGCAGCACAAGAAACATGGATGCAGTCACAGCAAATGTCCCAGTCTGGGCATCCTGACTTCAGAAATGGAAGAGAGATCAGTGGTTTCCAGGGATTAGATGGGGTGGAAAGGGAGCTGGGTGTGGTTATAAAAGGGCAACAGCAGTTAGCTAATGAAGCTAACAGTTTCTTTAAAAGCTAAATATTCACCTGTTTTGAAACCCACCCACCCCATTGCTAGGTATTTACCCAAAACAAATGAAAACATGTGTCCACATATAGGACTGTATAAGGATATCCATAGTAACTTTATTTATACTAGTAAAAAATGGAAAACAACACAAATGCTCATCAGCTGGTGAATTGATAAATGAAATGTGGAATATCCATGCTGAAGAATGTTTATCACCTGTGTATGTTCATGTATCGACCACCAAGAGTCAAGATACAAAAATCATCCCACAGTCCCAATAACAGTCCATTGTTGGGACTGTGGGATGATTTTTATATCTTGACTCTGGTGGTAGATACATGAACATACACAGATGATAAAACTGTATAAATTTTATGCACACAGATCAAGTATGAATACATAAGTGCAATATCAAATAAATGTAAAAGCAGACATCATTACCTTGTTACTGACTATAGAGAAAAAACTGAATATTTCAACATTAATTATATTAGCTTTATGTTTCTCTTAGATGTCTTTTTTCCACATTGAGATAGTTTACTTCTTTTTCTGCTTTAAAGTCTTTGTATGAAAATTCCATCATCTGAATAATCTTAAGGTTAAAATTTGTTGAGTTTTATCTTTAAGAAAGAGTAATAGAATGGCTATTATTAAAAAGACAAAACAATAACAGATGCTGGTGAGTATGTGAAGAACAGAAAACTCTTATATACTGTTGATGGGAATGTAAATTAGTTCAGCCATCATAAAAAACTAAAACAAACAAAACAAAGCAAAAACTAAAAACAGAACTACTAATCATACAATCCAGCAGTCTCACTACTGGGTATTTCTCTAAAGAAAAGGAAATCAGTATATCAAAGGGATACCTTCACCACATTTTTATTGCAGCACTCTTCATAATAGCAAAGATACGGAATCAACTTAAGTGTCCAGCAACAGATGAATGGTTAAAGAAAATATGTTATATACACACAATGGAATGCTATCTAGTCTAAGAAGAATGAAATCCTGTCATTTGCAGCAACATGGATGGAATTAGAGGTCATTATGTCCAGTGAAATAAGCCAGGAAAAGAAAGATAAATAGCGCATGTTCTCATTCAAATATGAGAGCTAAAAAAGTTAATCTCATGGAGTTAGAGAATTGAATAAAAGTTACCAGAGTGTGGGAATGGTGTAGTGTGGGGGATAAAAAGAGGGTGGTTAATGAGTACAAACATACAGTTAGAAAGAAGGAATAAGGGTCGGGTGCAGAGGCTCAAGCCTGTAATACCAGCACTTTGGGAGGCTGAGGCAGGCGGATCATGAGGTCAAGAGTTTGAGACCAGCCTGGCCAACATGGTGAAACCCTGTCTTTACTAAAAATACAAAAATTAGCCAGGAGTGGTGGTGCATGCCTATAGCCCTGGCTACTCAGGAGGCCGAGGCAGGAGAATCTCTAGAACCTGGGAGTTGGAGGCTGCAGTGAGCCAAGATGGCGCCGCTGCACTCCAGCCTGGGTGATAGAGCGAGACTCCATCCAATAAAAAAGAAAGAAAGAATAAGTTCTATGGTCAATAGCAGAGCGATTATAATAGACATTCATTTTATATTTCAAAATAACTAGAAGAAATAATTTGAAATGTCCGCAACATGTAGAAACGATAAATACTTCAGGTGACGAATACCCTAATATCCTGACTTGATCATTGTACATTACATGCATATGACGAAAACCACATGTACCCTATAAATATGCATACTTATTTGTATCAATAAAAATTGAAAAAAAGAACTAGTAACATTTTTACGGTTTCTCGTACACAATTATTTTTTATTCTATCCTCCTTATTGTGAATACAATATAAAATCTGCATTCGGTTGTATTCTTCTTATGAATGCTGATATTTTTAATAGGCAATAATTTGGTTAGATTCAGATTACAAACATTTTATTACATCTCATGAGTAGCAGCTCAAATTTCAGTTTAGTTATTCTAGTACACGTTGAAAGTTACTTTGAGTCTGCACCATAGAAGCATGGTTCACCAATAAGGCAAGGATAGGGCTTGTACTCAGAATTTGTGGCACCTCATCTGTGGCTGTCTCTTTCCAGGATTCTCCCTTCAGTTTTCAGAAGTACAGTTGTCTTAAAATACGTCTGCCATTTTTCAGGCCAGAAAATCAACAGATTTTTCTATAAGAGCTCTCACCACAATCTCACATTGAAAATGTTGGCCTACCTTCAAAGTAAAAGCCAAGCAAAAACAAACAACTCTCACAGTAACATTTTTTAAGTGTCAACTCAGCTCTAGAATCTACTTGCATTTGATCACCCTCCAGTGTCAATGATTTTTTTTTTTTTTTTTTTTTTTTTGAGACACAGTCTTGCTCTTGTCCCCCAGGCTGGAGTGCAATGGCATGATCTCGGCTCACTGCAACATCCACCTCCTGAGTTCAAGCTATTCTCCTGCCTCAGCCTCCTGAGCAGCTGGGATTACAGGTGCCTGCCCCGATGCTTGCCTAATTTTTGTAGTTTTAGTAGAGACGGGGTTTCACCATGTTGGCCAGTCTGGTCTCAAACTCCTGACCTCAGGTGATCCGCCTGCCTTGGCCTCCCAAAATGCTGGGATTACAGGTGAGAGCCACGGTGCATGGCCTGTCAACGATGTTTTTCTAGTTTGTCTGGAGGTTTTAGCTGCTATGTACAGGAGGGTTGGGTCCAGTAGGAGCTGCTTGGCTATAGGAGTGATAACTCTTGTCCTCATTTTTTATTCTTTCTTCTTCCATAACTCTGTGCAGGGAGGAAGAAGAGAAGCCAGCAGCAGGGCTAGGATTGGCCTGGGTCTCTGGCTCCCCAGTGGAATATATGTGTCCTCAATTTTAGGCAATACTAACATATATTTGCATATAAGATTTCATAACTTGCATAGTTTATATATATATATGTGGTAGAGAAGTTCAAAATTGTATCTTACAACATCTCTTTATAAGCTTGTATCCCTAAAACCTTGCCTTCTGCTCAAACTGGATTCATAGAAGGGTTATAACTTGAACATACCCAAATGCTCATGAAATAGCAAGGTTCAAATTACTCATGTCCTTGCTCTCATATTTTATTTCTATTACATACAATTTTATTTCTGTACATACATAGGCCGGATGTGGTGGCTCAAACTTATAATCCCAGCACTTTGGGAGGCTGAGTAAGGAGGATCACTTAAGTTGAGGAGTTCAAGACCAACTTAGACAACATGGTGAAACCCCATCTCTACAAAAAAATCAAAACATTAGCTGAGCATGGTGGCATGCGCCTGTGGTCCCAGCTACTCTGGAGGCTAAGGTGGGAGTGTCACTTGACCTGAGACCAGGGAGGTCTCAGTGGTCAAGGCTGCAGTGAGAGGTGACTGTGTCACTGCACTCCAGCCAGGGCAACAAAGTGAAACTCTATCTCAAAAAAAAAAAAGGTCATAAATGGTTCACTTTATTGAAATTACATAATGTTGCCACATATATAATTATCAAATTTTACTTAAGCTCTGCAGAGGTGTTAAGAGACAATTTATTCTCCATATATTCAGAAACAATAGCTTGGTTTAATTTATATCTGTTGTAGAATCATCAACAGAAAATTTCTAAATGCTTTTATAGTATCCAAGGAGAATGTAAAAGCTGTATATAATTGTTACATTGCCATTTCTTTCTTTGTCAGAAATGTCATATGCTTGCTATTGTCAGATAAAGCAGACTGTCAACTTGTTTATTAGGGAAAGTGTAATCTGTGTGTCAGTTCCCATGGTGATTCATTGAATAGCTCAAATTAAAGCACATATATGTCTTAATTAAATATTTGAAATGGATTAATTCAAGGTAAGTAAACCAAATACATTTTTCTAAATTTACTACCATGAGTATGTCATGAGAAAAAAGAAAGTCATTGCTATTATTTTCAGAATACTAGTTTAGACCCCAACATGCTTATGGGGCACTTAATATTCTATAAACTATTCTTAGATGATATACTGAGACAACCCTCTAAAATTAAACATGAGGTAAATAAAATTCCCTTACCTCTGACTACTAAACCAAGAAATAGACATTTAACAGCAGAATTTGGTAAATTCTAAAATCATAAGCTTTTATAGTAAGCTTTAATGAAAGCTCATGGATTTCTTCTAATCTACTTATCAGAGTACAGATGAAGTCAAAGTTGACTGTAGAAGCAAGAAAAACCTAGGCCACATTTTCATATTAATACTCACAGGGTAAAAATGAAAGATATCTAGAGGAGAGAAGACAGCCCAAAGGAAAAGGAGGAGTCTATTTAGAACACCATCAGCACAATCAGAAATGCAAGGAAGCTATACCGTTATCAAGTGGATTTTTACATAACTGGACAATAAAGAACTGAAACAAATAGCATGATAACTGATGTCTAAATGCTCACCATATTTCAGGCCTCATGTGCATTATCTCTTTCAATATTGCAGCAGTCCTCTTAAGTATTTTTGTTTTTGTAACAGTTTAATAGCTCAGTGTAAATTAATAAATTAGATGCCCTGCTGTCTGCTCTTATATTGTATGCATCTTTTAGTTCCAATTATATTAGTTAGATTAGGCTCTTAAAGAAAGATTCTTTCTGCACATTGAACAGCAAGCTTGAACTTTCTAAAGAACTTTTATATTAGTGAATGTGACCAACTAGTTGAGATAATATTTAGTGTTGTTATTTGAATTCACCATCCCCTCCTTTGCTCCTGAGCTTAATGACATTCAAGCTCATTTTAAAAATACATTAAAAGACACATAAAGTCTAAAATAGCATATTACTGAAATGCATAATAAGTAAACCTTGAAACATGAATATAATAAAATATGACTGGCCATTCACAGAATAAGCTAAATGGTGAGTTATGGAGCACAAGTAATGGCTAAAGTCATCAGAAGAATTGTGCAGGATGGGCAATTTGAAGTTAAGTGGAGTACAGAGAAGATCACACTGTGGGAAGAGAGAGCATGACAAGAGGGGAAAACATGAGACAAAGCTGAATATTTTCTGGGGAGTAAACAGAAGGAGGAGATGATGATATATAAAGGGGGACAGTCTAAATGGTTCATAATGAGAGACAGAGAAAAAAAGGTTGAATAGAAAAAGGGCCAGATTCTGGACACTGTATTCAGATAAAAGAGCTACTTTCTCTAGAAAAAAAATTTTTTTAAATTTTGGAAAAATTTAAGATTAAATTCTCTCACAAGGAAGTAAGAATTTTCTAATTAATGGAATATATAAGCCCAAATACAAGTATTCATGTAACAATAAGAAAGCTTACCTGCATTTTAATAGGGATCTTTCTGGAAGGAGAAATACAAACTACTGCTGATGCTGCTAGATAATTTTTAAATCAATCACTGTGGGACAATAATAATTAAACTTTCATATTTTATATGTGCATATGTATTTATATAATCTAAGATATCTTATTGTACATCATGAATATAAACAATTTTACTTGTCAATTAAAAATGAATTTTTAAAAAAAGAAATTGATTTGTCCTCGGTCACATAGTTATCCAGGATTTATATATAGAGCTTTTGACCTCTGTCTTCTTTCCATTCTCTTATAAAGCAGTTGCAGTTTTATGGTCAGAGGTCCTTCATTAGGATGTTAAAGTAACTGGTATCTACCATGATTGAGTACTTAATTTTTATTTATATCTTGTCAGATGGCTGTCACTTTAAAAGAATTTTATATATACAATTTGTAGGAGAAATTATTTCTCATCCTTTTCATATCTAAGAAATTTTCTGGCCAGGCACGGTGGCTCACACCTGTAATCCTAGCACTTTGGGAGGCCACGGCAGGCGGATTGCCTGAGCTTAGGAGGTCGGGACCAGCCTGGGCAATATGGTGAAACCCCGTCTCTACTAAAATACAAAAGATTAGCCGGGCGTGGTGGCGGGTGCCTGTAGTCCCAACTACTCAGGAGGCTGAGGCAGGAGAATCGCTTGAACCCAGGAGATAGAGGCTGCAGTGAGCTGAGGTCATGCTACTGCACTCCAACCTGGGTGACAGAGCAAGACTCCATCTCAAAAAAAAAAAAAAAATTCTGTGTTCTTCATGCAAGGAAATTAGCTAAATTTAAGTTATTGGCTCATATTTTTATTTCAAAATTTGTTCACAATGACTTTACTTTTTAAAATTTAGTGTTGAATTTAATGTTGTAGAGGCAAAGTCTAGAGCCAGTTTAATAGCAGTTCTATTTTATATATAACTTGTCATTATAGGATTATTCATGTTATTGTTGGTTATTTACCCTTTTTTGTTTTTCTTTGTTTGCCCGCATTTGCCTGCCCTCACTCCACCATAAAATTCTACTACTTGTGTTAAACCTTCATAAATTTCAGGACAAGTTTCAGTTGGGGCTCAGGGTAAGTGGACAGCTTCTTTTCATTTTACAAAAAAGGTCTGCCATAAGATGGTCCCACTAAACAAAAGGTACACCAACATAAATTTGAGTTTTATAAATTTTTTGGTACATAGCAACACTTATATTCCTCTGTACTTTCCTATGTATGTGTCTTTATCTATTGATCTTAGCCCATTTAAAACTGAAATTTTGCTTGTCAAGCCCAGGCCAGTCTCACCTCACCATTTGTCTTGAGAATTCTGTCATCATCTGTGCACACTGATGGAGGCACGTATCACATGCCGATTAAATTAAGTAAAAGAAACATCTCTCTGAAATGGAACTGCTTGCAATTAGCACACACATTCCTCACTCTTTGCTGTGAATAGAAGTCTTTGAAGATCAGGAATTATACCAAATCATTTAAAATATCTCCAGAAAATTAATTTACTCATTTAATTAATTTATTTGGGTACATATGCATGCATACATCCTTCTAATCTAAAATAATTGAGAATCTAAAATAATTTTGAATATACCAAGAACTGTGGTATTGAAAGACAGTAGTTGAGTTTCCAGAGATCCACAGAGAGTTAACAGTTCCTTCCATAGGAGGAGTTCCATAGAATCCATTTATCTACTACAGAACCTGCTAGAAGTAATTACTTAGTATGCCTCTATTAACGAATTAATTTCTGAAATCTAATTTATCTGTATTGTTGGTTGAGAATAAAGAAAAATTATTTACCTGCTAATTAATTGTTTAAAAAACTAAATATAAAAAACTAAAATAAATGTTCAATTAGGGCCATACATAACAAATCTATATTTTAACTTTTTTTCCTTGATAATCAATGCTGACATAAAAGGAGGAGAGGAATGAAAGAGAGGGTTTCTTTTTCCTTTTTTTTAAGGTTTCCTTTCTAGTCATCTTACTCTGATCCTCTTACAAGATGCTATTGACCATATGTGAGCAGAAGTCTCATTTTATTGACAGTAAAGTGAACCCAGAAATATCTGAGATAGGCCTCAATCAATTTAGAAACTTTTGCCAAAGTTATTGCCAAGGTTAAAGACATGTCCATGGCACAGCCTCAGGAAGTCCTCATGATATGTACCTGAGGTGGTCAGGGTACAGCTTGCTTTTATACATTTTAGGGAGGCGTCAATCAATATATCAATATATCAATCTATATATATGAGATTTACATTGACTTGATCTGGAAGAGCAGGACAACTAGAAGGAGGGGCTTCTGGGTCATAGGTAGATTAAAAAATTTTCTGATTGGCAATTGGTTGAAAGAGTTATTATTCATAGGAAGAAATGTCTAGGTTATGATAAGGGGTTGTAGACACCAAGGTTTTATCATGCAGATGAAGCCTCCAGGTAGCAGGCTTCAGAGAGAATTGGTTGTAAATGTTTCCTATCAGACTTACGGCTCCGGTTGATGTTAATGCTAGTCAGGTTTTCCTAAATTCCGAAAGGGAGGAGGGTATACAGAGGCATGTTTGAGCCCCCCTTCCCATCATGGCCTCAACTAGTTTTTCAGGTTAACTTTGGAATGCCCTTGGCCAAGAGGAGAGGTCTGTTCAGATGGGTTGGGGGATGTGTAGGGGTCTTACAATTTTGTTTCTGGTTTACAATAATAACTCAGAATTTAGAGCAAAATTTATATGTGTTCATTTCTATATTTTCTCATTAATGTAATCATGTATTAGGTATTTATCAAGTTTATGTATGAAATCACACTGTTGTTTGATGAATACAAGTTTAGATAAGAAATTTTGTGTATCCTTAATAAATCAAGCTGTTACAGTAAATAGGCAGATATGGTCAGGACAGGAGAGGTCCCCCACAACCAGGAATGTCAGGTGATGATCAGGTAATAGGTGGTTTTTGAGCTGTCTCTTTAAAATAATAATTGATGGCAGCTGGTACCAGGGAAAGGCAGTCTCCAAATATATAGAAAACAACTAAAGTTGATGATCAGCAGCTTCCTGATAAGATCTTAGGGGTTGGGCAAGTGGGCTCATGCATGCACACTAAGAGGAAAATGGCAGAGTTTAACTGGTAACCGGTATATGACCTTTTAGGAACAGTTGACTGGTAAGGGAACAACACCTCAAGTAAGCATGCATACACCTTCCGTAAACACACTGTGCGTGCAGCCGCTCCCAAGTGCTGCCAGGCCACTGCACATGCAGACAGCCCACCCCAAGAGAAGAATCAGGGAAAAGGGGACTCAAGAGCCCAGAAGCATGCAAAATGTATAAAATCCCAAGTCAAAGATCAAACAGTGCCCTTGATCTCTCAAGTCTCCCACTTGGCTCTCTTCCAAGTGTACTTTACTTCCCTTCATTCCTGCTCTAAACATTTTAATAAACTTTCACTCCCACTCCAGAACTTACCTCAGTCTCTCACTCTGCCTTATGCCCCTCGGTCGAATTCTTTCTTCTGAGGAGGCAAGAATTGAAGTTGCTGCAGACCCATGTGGATTCTCCACTGCTGGTAACAAAACCAAATAGGTAAGAAAAAATATGTATGCTAACTATGTTTTAATAAGAAAAAACTGATATACACATGATATATAGTACTGCTTCAGCATTGTCACTAGAGATGTATGCACAAAGAAGGCATAGTTAGATGTTAGGCAAACTCAGGTTCAAATGCTTGCTTTACTTTTATGACCTTCAGCTTTCTTACTTGTGAAGAGTATCTATCTGAATATAGCGTTATGTTAAAACATATTAAAAATAAAGTGCTTGGGAGAATGAATTAGCATTGCTAATGCTTCAATTATAGGCCAAGGCCAAATCCACAGAGAAAAATGTAAGCTCTTATGCATGTTAAAAAAAGGAAGTTTTCAGACATAATTGACTACCAATTATTTGCCCCCTTCTGAAGCATTTTAAAAAGCAGATGTTAAAGAGTTCAATTAATTTGTATTTGTATATGTGGGACTCTATCAATAAAAGAAAAATGTGCCGTGAATAATGTGACTTCCCATACTTCCTTCTTATATAATCTTAGCCAAATCTCTCCTACAAGTCTGGCAAATATGCAGAATATTATGGGATGGCTTATGCCTATAGCCTTGTTCCTGGCCTCATCTGCTAATTTCTCATGGTGGTGGGATTT